>NC_000006.12:3241818-3393333 GCF_000001405.40 Homo sapiens
GAGTGAGAACATGTGGTGTTTGGTTTTCGGTTCCTGTGTTAGTTTGCTGAGAATGATGGTTTCCAGGTTCATCCATGTCCCTGCAAAGGACATGAACTCATTCTTTTTTATGGCTGCATAGTATTCCATGCTGTATAAGTTCCACATTTTCTTTATCTAGTCTATCACTGATGGGCATTTGGGTTGATCAATAATTATTCTTAAGTGTGATTAGCCTAACCACTGAAAGTACTCCAAAAAAGACCAAGGGTAGTTGCGGGCCCATTTCTGTGCCTTTGGCAGGTGATTGAGTATATGGGTGTGTGTGTGTGCATATGTGTAACCAGCAAGCTGCACATAGCTGTCTTCACTTCTGCCTGACCCCCAGGCCTGTCTTCTGCCTTGGAGATGCCTCTGCAATCTTTCTCCTTTTTTTTTTTTTTTTTTTTTGATCAAGTTTCCCTCTCGTTGCCCAGGCTGGAGTGCAATGGCGCAATCTTGGCTCACTGCAACCTCTGCCTCCCGGGTTCAAGCAATTTTCCTGCCTCAGTCCTCCAAGTACCTGGGATTACAGATTACAGGCATGTGCCACCACTTCCAGCTAATTTTTTTGTATTTAGTCGAGATGGGGTTTCACCATATTGGCCAGCTGGTCTCGAACTCCTGAACTCAGATGATCCACCTGCCTCAGCCTCCCAAAGTACTGGGATTGCAGGTGTGAGCCTCCGCGCCTGACCCTTTCTCCTTCTTATGTGTATGAGATGTTTGCATTGTCCCTCCTTTTGAAAAATTGTCACCTTAAACTATATTGCCATAATAAGTGAATGTAAAATTCAATACTATCACCCCTCTATGTTTCTACATATAATTCAACTCAATTCTTTGTTAATAACTGATGATGATTTCTACTTTTTCCAGTGATTTCCACCTACCATGCCTTTCTGCTGTTCCTCATCTGTGTATACTTCTTTCCATGAACCCATCCAGCACTTCCCTATGATACTCTCAGCAGGCCAGTCTGATCACGTCCTGAGTCCTTTCCCATCCACAAAAGGTGTTTTTGTGCTGTAAGACAGAGGGAGCGCTGAGGCCTGGAGGCTTGCCGGGGCTTTGACTCTGGGATGAAAGGATGTTGTCCTTTCCACATCACTCACTAATTCTTTTCTCACTCTGCTTTGCCCTCCTGGGACTCAGGTGCCATTTATTCTTGAATTGTCCCTTGTTTGGTGTCAGAGAGTTTCCACTCTCTGGAGTACTGCCCATGGTGCGATTCCAGAAGGGAAGAGGCTTGCATTTCTTCTGTGCAATAGGGGAAGCTTGAGCTTGAAAGGGCAGTTGATAAAGAAAGACAAGCTCTCAGAACCAGAACACTCGCCAGTAGAGCATGTCTGTATAGGAAAGACTATAGGTGTCAATTTTAGATCTGGAAACCAATCCTTGACAGCTATTCATGACTCTGCACCCCTCCAACGTCTTCATGTCCCCAGTCTACTAGCTTCACTTTGAAGCCCACTGTTATAGCCCAGTCGCCCAATGAGGGAGAGGAAATCTCTGTGAGTCCCAAATGCTAAGTCCTGGAAAAGGGATTCTGTTGGCTCCAGTCTCTGGGTTGGAAACTTAGAATCTTCAGTCTCCTGGATGAGCACTTTGAGGAGCCCACTGTGGCAAACGTGGGGTGGCAGAAGGGGTCTCTTCTAGAAAAGTGTTCGTGGCAGGGCACAGACAAAGTTGGAGTGTGGTAGGTTGGGAGGCTGGGGGTCGGGAGCCCTCCAACTACTATAGGGAATTTTCATTTCCAGCTGTGAGAAGACAGTTTACCCTAGCATAAAGCCAGATTGTAGATCATTTAACTTTAACGGCGATTAGAGTTTGTTTGTTTGCTTTTTGAGATAGGGTCTCCCACTGTTGCCCACAGTGACGCCATCTCAGCTCACTGCAGCCTCAACCTGCTGGCCTCAAGTGATCCTCCCACCTCAGCCTTCTGAACAGCTGGGACTACAGGTGCATGCCATGATGCCTGGCCAATTGTTTTTTATTATTATTTTTCGTAGAGACAGGGTCTCACTATGTTGCCCAGGCTGGTCTTGAACTCCTGAGCTCAGGTGGTCCTCCTGCCTCAGCCTCCCAAAGGGCTAGGATTACAGGCATGAGCCACCACACCCCAACCTACCTATTAGAATGGAAAGATTCTGCCAGGATTTTATGAGTCTGTTTTCTCTGCTCTCAGCTCTGTCTCAGCCATGAAGTCTGGAAAGATAAAGGAGGAATCAGTGAAGGTGCCATCTCTCCTCTCAGGTTCCCTTCCACTCTGCTCCAAGAATTTCCATGATGAAGAGAGCTGGCTGGAGGGCAGGATTCAGGTGGTGACTTACTCATTCTTCAGCCTCAGATAGGCTTTGCTCCAAGCGCAGGGCAGCACCTGGGAGGCTGTGGGAGCTCTTTCAGTCAGCAAGTAGGCAAGTACATTGTATTATATGCAGAGGTGTTTTGTTTATGGGTGTTGTGCTATTGTTGTTGTTGGACTAAATACAAGGTCCTATAAAAGGCCCAGAGGGAAGGGGTAAGCTGGGCAGGGTATAACAGAAGCAGTGGGTGACATCATCAGGCATGCTGCCACATTCTCTCTAACCTGGAGAGAACCTTAAATACACACTTCCGAGACGAACCCAGATTGCACAAACAAAACAGAAGAGCCAAGTGGGAAGAGCATAGCATTTGGAATCAAATGGCACACTAAAAAAAAAGGCGGAAACAAGGAATATTAATACCTCCCGATATGGTTACTGTCAACACCTAAAGCTCATAAATGCAGTTCCTGACACAGGGTAGGTGCCCAGTGATTGGAACAGTTATCATCAGTGTTATATTACACAATGGGTGTCAGTCTCAGTCCATTTAGGTTGCTATAACAAAGTATCTTAGACTGGGGAATTTATAAACAACAGAAATTTATTGCTGATAGTTCTGGAGGCTGAGAAGGCGCCCGCAGATTCCATGTCTGGTGAGGGCTCTTTGCTTCGTGGCACCTTGTTGTTGTGCCCTTATGTGGCTGAAGGAGAAAGCAGCTCTCTGGCGCCTTTTAATTTTTTTTTTTTTTTTTGGAGATGGAGTCTTGCTCTGTCACCTAGGCTGGAGTGCAATGACGCAATCTCGGCTCACTGAAACCTCGGCTCACTGCAACCTCCACCTCCTGGGTTCCAGAGATTCTCCTGCCTCAGCCTCCCAAGCAGCTGGGACTATAGGTGTGTGCTACCATGCCCAGCTAATTTTTGTATTTTTGGTAGAGACGGGGATTCACCATGTTGTCCAGGCTCGTCTCGAACTCCTGACCTCAGGTGATCTACCTGTCTCAGCCTCCCAAAGTGCTGGGATTATAGGCGTGAGCTATTGCACCCAGCCTGGGGCCTTTTTAATAACAGCACTAACTTCCCAAAGGCCCTATCTCTTTATCCCATCACCTTGGGGGTTGGAGGGAAAAGTCTAGGAGTCAGGACTGAGAAGACGGATCTGCACTTCAATGCCATCGCCATGGAAGAAAGCACTAGGAGCTACGTGGAATGAGTGGGAAAAGCGCAGACTTTATGCCAGGAATCCTGGTTTCACTCTCAACCCACTGCATGGACCCGGGGGCAAGTTACACAACTGGTCTGATGTTTGGCCTCCTCAGCCTGACTTTGAAATAATATCTTCCTCATGGGGTTACTGTGAGGGATAGAAATGGTTTAAAGAAGGACCTAGGATAGTACTAGGCATAGAGGAGGCAATGGCTAAGTCATGGTTCCTACCATGCTGAGAAGCTGGGGATGGTGGGTTCTTAGCAACAGCTTCAAGAGAGGAGTGTTCAGAAATTGGGCTACTTACCCAACAGGGCTCTTGGAAATGAAATTGATTCATAAGACTGAAAAATTATAAAATAAGATATTTGTAGAGTCGGTAACAATCTGTGAATTATTTTGGGTTATTGGAGGAGGACCTGTTATGGTTTGGGCAGCAAAGTATACAGAATCTCATTAGGGTGATGGGACTTCTTGGTTAAAAATATACCTAAGATGACAGACCTTCCAGGCCAGGGTTGCTTTTTATTTATTTATTTTTTATGTTTTTATTTATTTTTTTGAGACGGAGTCTTGCTCTGTCACCCAGGCTGGAGTGCAGTGGTGTGATCTTGGCTCACTGCAACTTCCGCCTCCCGGGTTCAAGCGATTCTCCTGCTTCAGCCTTCCAAGTAGCTGGGATTACAGGCATCCGCCACCATGCCCAGCTAAATTTTGTATTTTTAGTAGGGACAGGGTTTCACCATGTTGGCCAGGCTGGTCTCGAACTCCTGGCCTCAAGTGATCCGCCTGCCCCTGGCTCCCAAAGTGCTGGGATTACAGGCCTGAGTCACTGCGCCCAGCCCCAACTTTTTAAATTTTAAAATTTTCATTGTGATAAAAACCACATAGCATAAAATTTGCCACGTTAACCATTTCTAAGTGCACAGTTCAGTGGCATGAAGCATGGGGGTGCAACTGTCACCACCGTCCATTCCAGAACTTTTCATCTCCCCAAACTAAAACTCTGTCCCCATTAAACACCAATTTGCTGTTCCCGCAGCCCTTGGCCACTCCCATTCTACTTTCTGTTTTTTTATGTGAATTTAATTACTCTAGCCACCGCCTATGAGTGGACTCATACAGTATTTGTCCTTTTTTGTCTCTCACTTAGCAAATGTCCTCAAGGTTCATCCATGCTGTGACCTGTGTGAGAATTCCCTCTCTTTATAAGATAAGATTGCCTTTGTAAGTGGGTGCCCCAGGCGTTCAGCTGAGGGTTTTTCCATAGGATCTGGTCAACTGGGAGCATTTTGCTGAATTTAGTTCTGCTTTTTCCTGTACCCCCGATGCCTTCCTTACCTTGGCATCGCTGTCCTGATTCCTGTACCAGCTTCCTAACCTGCTCCATCCTGTGCTCTCCCGCCTTTGTGCTCAGTCTTGCCCCCATCTTCTAATCACCTTGCAGTTCCCAGAGCTGCTTGTGTCTCTTACCTGTTCATCTGGGCCCGGCGTGGTGGCTCACGCCTGTAATCCCAGCACTTTGGGAGGCCAAGGCTGGTGGCTGGCTTGAGCTCAGGAGTTGGGGATCAGCCTGGGAACACAGTGAGACTTTGTCTCTACAAAAAATAAACAAAATTAGCCAGGTGTGGTGGCATGTACTTGTAGTCGCAGCCACTTGGGAGGCTGAGGTGGGAGGATTACTTGAGCCCAGGAGGTCAAGGCTGTAGTGAGCTATGATCACACCACTGCACTCTAGCCTGGACAACAGAGTGAGACCCTGTCTCAATTTGGAAAAAAAAAAGGTGCACTGACCACGGGTGTCCAGCATTCCAGAAGCCCACTTGGTGTTCTCCTCATCTCCTACCCCAACAAGCAGCTACTGCCTTGCCCTCCAGCAGTAGGTGTTAGCTCTGCAGGCTTCAGGAGTTGATAGAAATGGAATCCGACAGTATGTACTCCGTGTACATTCTTTTTGTGAGACTCACCCGTGTTCTCGCACATTCCATAAGCATCCCATGCATTCCTAGCTCCTTTAGATGCTGTGAACTGGGGACGGTTGACTGTGTCGTATTTATGTGTGTGTCTGCCTCCCGGTTCCAGCGGAGGGCGAGGCGGGGGTCATCGTTCTGAAGGGCATCTTTGTGTCTTCCCAGCACTCAGGACAGTGCCTGGCACACAGATGCTTCAGTAAATGTTTGCCGAGTGAACCCGATGAATGGGCATTTTGTCACTGGGTCTTTTCATTTATTCCTTGGCTTGCTCCCTGTCTCCCCTTGAAACACAGCTGCTTTCATTGACCGCGTCTTTATTTGTTGGGTGGATGTGCTTGTTTTCAGTGCCAGGAAGGAAAAACAAGCACAGAAGTCGCCCCTCCCGGGCAGCCATATTCCCGGCTAAGAAGCCCTCCTTTGTGCCAAGAGCAGAACCGTCTATGGCTGGGTGGAGGGTCACAGCCTGTGGGACGGTGCGGAGAGGCAGGGGGGTGCGGCGAGCTCTGGGCTTGCAGGCAGGCGGTGACTCATGCAGAGTCCGGCCACCGGTGCGGGAAAAGGGCTTTGACGTTCTCAGCAAAACCCCAAGGCGAGCTCCGAGCAGCCCACCTGCCCCTCCCACCCACGCAGGGCCTTGCAGATGAATCTGCTTCTGTATCACATGATCCGTTTCAGCAGGAGAGAGACGGAGAGAAACAGCCTTTTGTTCTGCCAGCCTCCATGATTGCGTATCTTAGGCACAACGCTCTGAAGTCAGGCTGAGGATTCTAATAAAACTTGGGAAGCTTTACCCGGAAGACAAGGTGCTCTTTCACTAGGCATGATTTGGACCCAGGATATAAATTCTCTTTCGTGGGACGGGAGAGTTGTGTCTTTGCTTATCCTCGGGGAGTCTCACTGTGCCCCACTGATCATGCGTGCCTTCCAAAGCTGTCAGGTAGCCCCTCCACAATCACACATATGTGCAACCACATATTTTCCAACCCAAACGAGGGTACACACCATCTGGGGAGGGATTCCCCCTTCCCATATGCGTGAATTCGTTTAGCTAAAAAGCATTAACAGTCACAAAATAAAATCACATTGAGACCCACATTTTAATGGAAACACTGGACCTTTGGGGTTGTGCTGGAGATTTTGAGATCTGGGATAAGAAACCCAGAGTGAGCAGGTGGAACAGTTCCCACTGGCTTTGGTGACATGGCCCCAGGACTGCTGTCTACCTGGAGGGCCTGTTTGGAGCTGATTTCGGAGAGGTGGTGGCTACACTCCTCGCCACTGTGTGCACGGTGCCTGACCTTGCCTGGAAGCCTGCGTGTTCACTTAAATTCAGGTCCTCTGTTCAGCACCCCATAGCTCCTCACGGATCCTCACCCTCCATCCCTGCCTGGGATCCCCACTCTTCCACCTGGAAAGGGGTGCAGGGAGGTGGTCCAGGATCCAAGCCTCAGCTCCACCCTCAGCGACTAAGTGCCTTGTGGGCTCTTCATTTATTCAGCGTTCAGTTCCTTTTTTGAAAAGTGAGTCATGGCTGGGTGCGGTGGCTCACGCCTGCAATCCTAGCACTTTGGGAGGCTGAGGCGGGTGCATCACCTGAGGTCAGCAGTTCGAGACCAGCCTGGCCAACATGGCAAAACCCCGTCTCTACAAAAAGTACAAAATTAGCCAGGCATGGCTGTAATCCCAGCTACTAGGGAGGCTGAGGCAGAAGAATTGCTTGAACCCAGGAAGCAGAGGTTGCAGTGAGCCGACATCAAGCATTGCAATCCAGCCTGGGCAACAAAAGCTAAACTCCATCTCAAAAAAAAAAAAAAAGAAAAGAAAGAAAGAAAAAAAGAAAAGTGAGTCATTATACCTGCTGCCTCGGGATTTGTATTTTATTTTTACTTTATTTAATTAATTTATTTAGAGACAGGGTCTCACTCTGTTGCCCAGGCTGGAGTGCAGTGGCGGGATCATAGCTCACTGCAGCCTCTGACTCCTGGGCTAAATCGATCCTCCCACCTGAGCCTCCTGAGGAGCTGGGACTACAGGTGGATGCCACCATGTTTGGCTTTGCTGGGATTTCTGTGAGGCTCTTCAAATATATGACCTGACTCTTACCCCACTAGGCTACTCTACCCCCCGTCCCATGCTGCCCTACAGCACTGCTCACCCATTTCCCCTGCCCAGCACACCCTCTTCTCTTCCTCTAGCCTAACTCACCCTGACATCTCAGGCCCAGCTACCTGACCAGCCTGGCTCAGCCCCTTCTTACTCCTGAACTGTGTGGTGTTTCATGCTCTGTCTTCTATTGTTGGTTTTCATTCTGTGTTTGCTGGTCTTGTCTCTGCAACAAGCTGTCTGTGCCTGGAGATCCAATCAAATACACAATAGTGTGCACGGAGCTCAGTGCATAGAAAATCTGCTGGAAGAAAGGGTTAGCAAGATGAGGACCAACTACCCAACTGCTCTCATGCTGGAAATCTCCTTTCTGTTGTGCTGTGCTTAATCTGCCATCTTGTTACTGCCCTTCCCTAAAGCAAGTGGGTAAAAAAGCTGGGCTGCCCCCCAGGCCTAGCCTGATGGGGAGGAATCTTTTTATTCATCACTCATGGTTCCTACTGAGCCACAGCCCAGGGCTGGCCCTACACCGCAGGGGCAGGGTTGGGGAAGGTAAAATTTGGGCTCCTGCTGCCCCTGCCTCCACAGCAGCAGGGGTCGGGTGGAGTGAAGACAGGGTGCCTCCCTAATGCCCTTCATGGGGTTGCCCAGGGTCTAAGGCCAGAGCTGTCCTCTGGGTAGGGCAGGGCTGTATTGACACTTGCTCGGTTAAGAAAACTGTATTGACATTTTAGGAAGAGTTATAGAAAAATCTCATTCTGGTTGATTCTGCCTGTGAATCACAGTGATGTGAGGCTTAACTTGTTTCCATCCACTTTAAGCCTTTTTCCTCTGGACGAAACAGGATTATCCTATTTTTCCTTTTGAACCAGGGCCTGATGACATCAGAACTTGGGCAAGCCTTCTTCTTTTGTGTACTGGGAAACGGCTGCTGCTGGCCAAAGTGTTTTGTCTGTGCTTGTGAAGGGTGAGTGGGGACAGCTGGGACCCACAGCTGGAAGAATGCAGGTGCTGCTGAGATGGGGAAGCCTGTGGGAAAGCAGGCTTGGAGGGAAACCGCACAGTAAGTTGGAGGTTTCTGATGGAGATGCCGAGTAGGCAGCTGACCATATGCACTGGAGCTCAGGCGAGAGGTTGGCTCCAGAGAAACCAGTGTGGGAGTCATCCGTGTGCAGAAGGAATTAAGCCATGGGCTGCGGAGCTGGAGAGAATAGGACGCTGGACGCTTCTGCTGCACAGGTGGGACTATGACGAAGAACCAGCCAAGGAGCCTGAGAAGGAGGGACCTGGAGGGACGAGGCACCAAGACAGAGCAGCGCCCCAGAAATCAAATGCTGCCCGTTGAGCAAGGAAGAGACTAAGATGTGGCGTGGTGACCTTGGTGGAAGCAGTTTAGTGAAATGTCAGGAAAGAAGCGAGTTCACAAGAGCAAGGGAAGAGAGGAATTGAAAACAGCACATATGAAGCCTTTTTCCAGGAGTTTTGCTGTAGAGGGAAGCAGAGATACGGGGAGGTAATCAGAGTGAATGTATGATCAAAGGAAGATTTTTGTTGTTGTTTTGAGACAGGATCTCATTCTATCGCCCAGGCTGGAGTGCAGTGGTATAATCATAGCTCACTGCAGCCTGGAACTCCTGGACTCAAGTGATCCTCCCACCTCAGCCTCCAAAGTAGCTGAGTCTACAGGTGCACACCACCACGCCTGGCTAAGTTTTCATTTTTTGTAGAGACAAGTTCTCACTATGTTGCCAGGCTGACCTCAAACTCCTGACTTCATGTAGTCCTCCCACCTCGGCCTCCCAAAGCACTGGGATTACAGATGTGAGCCACCTTGCCCAGCTGGTCACGGAGCAGTTTTCTTATCCATCATCTTTGAATCTTTGTTCTTAATGAAATTCATGCCAGACAAAGGCTCACAATCTAACCTGGTCGGAGAAAGAGGAGGGGGTGAATCAAACACCCTAGGAAACCTTGCTTTTTCTCTTCGAATCGGCCTCTTTCGCCTTCTGCTGCTGGGCGGTTTTACATTTGTGGGCTGTGAACTACCCGGGGACCAGGACCCCCGTGCTTCATCTGCAATTGCAGAATCTGGAGAAATAAACTGTCCTGCCCGAGTGATCTGCAGGAGCAAGAATCCAGTAACTCCCATCGCTTTCTGAAAGCAAAGGCAGCTCTCAACCTGCCCGCTTCCTTCCCACCTGCCACCTAGTGGCCCCCTGCAGAATGACATGGGCGGCAGTGAAGGGCTCCAGTTACCATTCGGCTCTCTTATCTGATCTTCATAGGGTATTAGCTCGGGAAGGCGCCTTAGAGACGATCTAAGCCAATCGTCTCAATTTACAGCTAAGATAACAGACCTAGAATAAAGGTATAGAGATAATTAGTGGTAGAGCTAGGACTAGAGCCTAAGACCCTGATGAGGCCTGCAGTGAGGTCCTTCTGTGTTCTCTCACTCAACCATTCAATCAACTTTCGCTATCTGCCTTACATGCAGAGTCCAAGGCTGTGCACTGCACTGCAGACGAAAGGCCCTGTCGCTATCCTTAGGAGCTTCCTGAGAGGAAGGTGGGCATGCAGAAAGACCATTACATAAAATATATCTTATTTTACATTGCATACAATGATTGCTCTATAGGAGGTAAAAATGAGGGCCAAGAGAAGCTGCCGCCAGCCTGCCTGGAGCCAGGGAAGGCTTCCCTGAGGGGTGGTGTTGGGGTGAACCTCAGGAGTACTAGTCTCTCAGGCAGGTAAGGCAGGGCAGGCCCAGGCCCAGTGGCGCCGTGTGTGGTGGTACACGGGGCAGATACTGAACTGTGGAGTTATTGCCTGAGCGTGACATCAGGGACAGACACGAAGGGGACCAGCAGCTAGGTGAGGGGCCTTGTGTGTCTGCAAAGGTGTTTGGGCTACACATCACCAAAGAATTATTAGAAGGCGTAGCATCATCAGACATATTGCTTCAATAGATCTCTCTGGCAATAGTGAGAAAGAAAAATTGGAAGCCAGTGAAACAAGAAGCAAGGAAACATCAGAATGTCACAGCAGCAGTGCAGGCCAGTGTGGGAGATGTGAGCAGGCAGCGCTGCTGCAGTAACTGGGAAGAGTCTCATATTTACGGTTGGGAAATGAATGCGTCTGGTCTGTGCACCACTGTCCGGAACACAGTCAGGCAAGCTGGCCGCGGGTAGGACAGGAGAGGAAGGGAGGAGCTGCTCAGTGTGGTTGCGCCGAGGGGCCGGTGCTGTGAGTCAGGTGGGAACGCCTGCAGGCTGCTGGGTGTGCCTGTGGCTCTGAGAGCAATGCTAGCCACAGATTCACTTTAGTTGAGGAACAAAATCAGCCAGAAAGGGCGAAAGCGGCTGTCAGAATTGACCATGCACATTGCGCCCAAGTGGCCATGCCTTTAATCCGTTGTCTTCAACAGAAAGTCCCCACAGGAAAGACCTTAGGCAAGGCAGTTCTCAGGAGCTGAACAAATCCCTATGGGGGATGACACTTGAAGGCTCTGTGCTCCCAGCAGCTGGGCGACAGTTCTTCCCTGGCAAGGGGATCTGCCCTTCCCAGGCTGGAGTTGCTGTTTCCTCCATTTACTGTCACAGTTGGGCAAGGGAGTCCCCTGTGGCGCCCAAGTAGATCAGCTGAGTACCGAATACCTTCCTTGCTCCTCCCACAGGGTGTCAACAGCCCTCTTCCTGCTGATGACCAGGGTGGATCTCCCTTGCCAGGATGGTGACTGTTCTCAACTCACCAAGGAGCCCAAAGTGCCCCACAGCAGCCATGGCTTACTGCTTAACGGGGCTCTTGCTAAGTCTCAGGTGGAAGTGTTCTCCCTTTGGGATATGGGGCTTCTAATCCTGCAGTCCACAGGCGCAGGTTTGGGAAGCCCACTCTCCTCAGTGGACTGTTGGAAGTGACAGCCATTTTTGCCTCCACTTCTTGGTTCCCTGTTTCTTGTAGTCTTTTCACTGGGGACATGGTAAAAGGTGACAACCTGCTAGCTGCCCTCGCTCGCTGTCGGTGCCTCTTCTGCCTCGACGTCCTCTCTCGCCGCGCTTGAGGAGCCCTCTAGTCCGCCGCTGCACTATGGGAGCCCCTCTCTGGGGCTGGCCGAGGCTGGAGCCGACTCCCTCTGCTTGCAGGAAGGCGTGGACCGACAGGCGCGGGCGGGAACAAGGGCTGGGCGGGGCGCTCAGCGCGAGTTCCGGGTGGGCGCGGGCTTGGCATGCCCCGCGCTCGGAGCAACCGGCCGGCGCCACCGGCCCTGCACAGTTAAGAACTTAGCACCCCGGACAACAGCTGTGGAAGGGGCCCCGGGTCCCCCAGCACTGCCGGCCCGCCCGCGCCGCGCTAGAATTTTCACCGGGACTCAACCGCCTCCCCGCAGAGCAAGGCTCGGGACCTGCAACCCGCCATGTCTAACACCCCCGCGGTGGGCTCCCGCGCGGCCCAAGCCTCCCCGGCAAGTGCCACCCCCTGCTTCTCGGCGACCGGTCCCATCGACCGCCCAACGGCTGAATAATGCAGGCGGTGACTGGCAGCTCCGCCCGTGGCGCTGGCGGGGGATCCACTTAGGAAACCCAGCTGGGCTCCTGAATTGGGTGGGGACTTAAACAACTTTCATGTCCCTCTGGAGAATTATATATGCGCTAATCAGCACTCTGTGTCTTCCCAATCTGGTAGGGACTTGGAGAACTTTTATGTCTAGCTAAAGGATTGTAAATACACCAATCAGCACTCTGTGTCTAGCTCAGGGATTGTAAACGCACCAATCAGCATCCTGTCAAAAAATGGACGCATCTGCTCTTTGTAAAACGGACCAATCAGCTCTCTGTAAAACGGACCAATCAGCTCTCTGTAAAACAGACCAATCAGCTCTCTGTAAAATGGACCAATCAGCTCTCTGTAAAATGGGCCAATCAGCAGGATGTGGGTGGGGTCAGATAAGGGAATAAAAGCAGGCTGCCCGACCTGCTGTTGGTGGCACATCTGAGGAGGTATGGCTTTGTGCTGTAATAGTTTTCTGCTTTTTTTGTGTGTCTTTTTAGATAAATATTGTTGCTGGTGGTTTTTTGTGTATGTGTTGGGTTTATGAGCTGTAACAATTATCTGGAAGGTGTGCAGATTTGTTCTCGGGGTTTGTGAGGCTGGGAACCCAACGATGGAAGTAAATAATTCCAGTAGGCGTAGCTTTAAGAGGTGTAACACTGATTGTGAAGGCCTACAGCTTTGTTCCTTCAAGCTGCGAAACCACTAAACTCAACAGAAAGAAGCTGTGGGATGCGCCTGGACACCAGAAAAAACAAACTCCCCCTGTGCCTCTTTTAAAAACTGTAATGCTCACCTGTAGGGTCTGGCTGAATGCTTGGGGTCAGAGCAACAAGACACCAATTCTGGACACAGTGGGACCTTAGAAAACACTTTAACTCAGGGTGAACATGAGATGCTGGAGGGTGACTCCGACCTTGTAAGTGAATGATCTCTGAGCTGGTGCTTCAGCCATTCTCTCACTGGGTGTCAGCTGTTGGGTGTTGCAGAGCATGTGATGTGGCTGTGGATCCCATGGACCTAGCGCACTCCCATGTGGGAGCGCTGGGATAATGGCGCTTTCTGATTCTCTGGACAGGAACAAACACACTTGGAATATGCTTCTATTCCTAAGAAGTTGGCTGCATAGGAGCACAACATCACCAGCTTACCACGTATTGGTCATTCTCTTTGAGGAGCAGGGCCATACTGACGGCTTACATGTGCGCTCTGGTGGAAGTAGGATGTTTGGTGGCAGCAGGAGCAAAATCAACTCTGGTAAGCCTTCCATGCTGTTGGGTTCTGTGTTACCACGGCTGTCTTACGGGTCTATCGGTGCCCATCCTGGGAGAGTGGTGGATGAGGCTAACGGCAACTGGTGGAGTCATTCTATGTAGTTGCTTAATTTTTCCTGTGGTGGATGATGTTTGTTGAGTGATAACATGACAAGGATTTTCACACTTCGTGGACACTCCAGCCACATGCCCCTTCTCAGACCACCACCTCTTTTATCTTCCCGTCTTTCTCCCCAAAGGTACCTAAACTGCCTGGCCAGGTCATTCCCCACTGCCCATGAGTCTGTATAGACTCCAACCTTGGGCTGCTGTTCTGTTTACATGAGATGGTTACCCAGACCCACTGCCTGAGTGAGGCAGAAGTGCAGCTGTCATCTATTTGTAGCTTGCGCCCACAGACAAACGAGTCCGAGAGCCTTAAGTGATTTGTATGAGATCCCTCCTATGGCCAAAAGCAGGAACTGAAGAAGGGGTATTGGTAAAACAGGTGGCAGTGGGCAAATGCACCAATGTGATATTCTGTGGAATGTCCAGAGAGTCCCAATCTTTTCAGACAGGGCAGAGATTAGAATTGTGGGCAAAACTGTAAATGAATGTCGTCCATCTCACGTGAATGCAAATTGTTTTGTCTTCCTCTTTCCTGATTGGGATAGAAAACACATTTGCTGCATCCTTGGTCACGTACCATGTACCTATGGCATTATCACACCACTCTAGCAAAGATTCCACATCTGCTATGGCAGCCACAATGGGGATTGCTTCTTGGTTGGGTTTATAGAAGTCAATTGCCATCTTCCAGGACTTGACTGAATTAAATAGCAATATGAAGTCTACCACCACTGCATCCTTTGGCTCCTGAAGGGTGGCACAAATTTTCACCATCCTCCCCAGGATGGAATACTGTTTTTGACATGCTTGCTTGGCTGGGGGAAGGGCAATAATTCTAGAAGCTTCCACTTGGTTTTCTCCACTATGATAGCTCCTACCCTATAGGGCACAGATCCAATGTGGGTGCTGGGCTAATTTCTAGGTATATATATCCCAGTTATACATTTGAGGACCAGGGAAATGACCCCTGATGGGTCCACAGACCCAGTGGACCTTTGGCGAGGACTCCCTTTATTTTCTGTTCCTGTATGGATGGTTCCCCACTCGAGAAGGACTGTGATGACACTTCAGTTTCCCCAGATCTCAATTCCAGCTCTAACCCTTCAAATGTTGCATCTTCCTCCTCCTGTGATGTGTGGCCAGCCACTCGGTCATTTGGGGAACGGCTGGGGCGATTGTTACGGCACATGGTGGTGCCGGGGACCTGGTCACCTCTCCAGTTGTTGGGTTCCAGGCCCAGGCATCATAATGTTTTTGGGGGGTGACAACATTCAGCCGCCTGACCATCCATTCTTGATTTCTTTTGATAGTGTAAGGTGAATACCGCCCTTGCAGTAGGCAGGGTGGGCTGACTCCCTGGGCACTCTGGAGCCAAAATGGCCCATCAGAGTTGTGAGTTGTTCTGCACTGGGGCAAACTGGCCTGGCTTTCATAGTCTGCCTCCATCAGTTATTGTATGTGGGCTGCCACGGGGAGGGTGTGCAGACTCTAGAGGAGGCCGTGGCAGAAGGTAGGATTTGTAGCAGTTGGGACAAGTTTTTTTTGAAGTGGACCTAGGTGGCACATGCAGGCTCTTTGGAGACGCATCACAGATAATGAGGGGGGTTCCTGAGGACGTGAAAGGACAGGGTCAGAGCACAGGTGGATGGATTGACCTTCTGTACAAGGAGGGACATCTTTATCTTTCACTGTCACAGAGTGAGCAGAAGGAAAGATAGGGTCCAATGAAGATAAGCATTTTAGGAGAGGGACAAGGAGCTGGGAAAATCTGGCTTTGTCACCTCTATTTTCTGCATAACATCAGAAGCAAGGGCATCTGCTGAACTTGGGTTTGGGTCAGCTCAGGGTTTGGGGAGCATAGTCAAGGGGAGTGAGAGAGGACGCTGTCTAGGGACTGCAGGGCAGTGTTCCAGGGCCGCTGATGTTGGGCATGACTGGCTGTGACCCTCTGCCTGTGTGTTTCCCGAGCAGTGACAGCAAAGCTGGAGAGAGAGAGGAGCATTGAGGTTTTGAGACATGTATAACCAGTGAAACCATCATTACAATCCAGATTGAGAAATTTGCCATGCCAGCCAGGCCTTGAACTCTCCACCGGTCGGTAACTTTGTTTCCTTAATCTTTGGGTCCTCCTAGCTGATTGAAGGGCCTCAAATCACAAAGTAAAGGGATAAAACAATTATGGTGTAGCCATACAATGGAACACTGCTTAGTAATACAAAGACACAAGCCATTGACACACAAGCAGATGAACCCAAGATAATTATGATGAAGGAAAGAAGCTGGACAAAAAACAGTACATACTGTGTGATTCCACTGATACAAAACTCTGGAAAATGCAGACTAATCTGTGTGGCAGGAAGCAGATCAGTGGTTGGGGGCAGGAGTCATTACTGAGGGCAGGAGGGAGTACTGGACGCGTTCACTTTGTGGATTGTGATGATGATTTCACTGGCTATAACGTGTCAAGACTTCAATTTGTACACTATATATGTGCAGTTATTGTATGTTAATCACATTTTAATAAAGCTGTTAAAATATTGACCTGAAAATTAACTGTATTATTGAATCATCGATAATTAGCAAATAGAACTATGGAAAATGCCCTCTTAAATTTCAATTTAGTCAACTTAGATCTATTAGAGATTTTTAAAGCAGACCTTTTATAGTTCCAAG
Organism: Homo sapiens; assembly: GCF_000001405.40. Lineage (NCBI taxonomy): Eukaryota > Metazoa > Chordata > Mammalia > Primates > Hominidae > Homo > Homo sapiens. The sequence goes on from NC_000006.12 coordinate 3,258,028, forward strand.
TTAAATCTCTAAAGTCAGTTGTAACAGAATCTGACAAAATGGGCTGTTTTCTTTTACCACCTTCTCTCTTAACCCATCAAGGCTTCCTTTTCTCAACTCTGTAATGTCCTGAAGTGTTCAAGGGGTCTCCCCATAGGTATGACAATGGGATGATTGGATGATTGTTGGTGCTTCCCATTAATCTCTCTTGAGATCCTTTCCACGTCTCCGAAAGGCACCTGTTCTTATTTGCATTTTGCAGATGAGGAAACTGAGTCTCAGAGAGGTTAAGGGGGTAGCCCGAGGCCATGTACATGACTGCAGCTTGGGACTCGGCGTCCAAAAGGGTGCCTGCCCATCCTCCTGCCAACTTAGTTGACACAATTTTCCTTTCTAAAGGCTTTCTCCCAATACCGTTGCCATTCTTAATTAGGGCTGGGTGCCGTCGAAGCCTCCTTGGAGTTAAAGGGCTGCTAGGAGGAGGAGGTGGGACGGGAGGTGGCCGTTCTCAGAGTGCTTGAAGAACTAATTAAAAATCAGTCTTTTTAAATTTTTAATTAAATTAATGTCTGTAGGGCGAAGTGTCACGGCCTGGGAGGACGGTGCGGCTGGCTTCAGCCCTTGAATGCCCCGCGTCAGTAATAATTAGGGGGTGGGGGGAAACAAAGCGAGGGTGAGTTCTGCTGGGCGCCCGTGGACTCCTAGAGGTCACTGTCGCACTCTGCTACTCAAGTGGGTTTCCCCAGCCCGTCCAGAGAGGTACTGGTGTGCGGGAGAGGCCAGCAAGACAACCAGGGACAGCTACTCCGCCCAGGGCCGGCAGCCGCCCCGCCTCGACCACGCCCCCAACCCAAGCCCGGGATCGCCCCTCCCCGACCACGCCCCTCACCCCCGCCCTTCCGGGGCCGAAAGCGAAAGCGCGCTCGGTCTCTCGGTGCTCGCTCCATCGGGTCTGGCGGGGCTGGCAGCGGCGAGGACCCGGGTCTGGCGCTGTGGGCCGGGAGCCGTGGGGCGGCATGGAGGGGCTGGTTGTCGCCGCCGGCGGGGACGTCTCCCTGCACAACTTCAGCGCGAGGCTGTGGGAGCAGCTGGTCCACTTCCACGTCATGCGGCTGACGGACTCGCTGTTCCTGTGGGTGGGGGCCACGCCGCACCTGCGCAACCTCGCCGTGGCCATGTGCAGCCGCTACGTGAGTGCCTGGCGGCCGAGGGTGCGGGCGGCGGGGCGGGGGCGCGGGGGCGCCGGGCCTGCGCGAGCTGCAGCCCCCCAGGCTTCTCTTGGGTCCACAGGGCGCCCTACTCCCCCGAAGCCCACCCGTGGGATGTCTTAGGAAGCCCGCGGGCGCCAGGGCCTGCACCACCTCGGGAGCTGCGCGCGGGCCCCGGGCCCCTCTCCTTGTCCCGCCGCCCCGCAGCTGCGTCCCGCACTGGTCTCTGTAGGTCAGAATGTCTTGGGTCTGTCCTCGCCACACGCTCGCTGGGGGACGCGTCTGCCTCGTAGCTCTCCTGCCATCTGGATTTTGAGCACACTGATAATTTTTTGGGGACTCTTGCGTCTCCACTGGATGTCTCAGGCATTTCGCACTAGGCACACATCAGGCTCTCTTCTCCAAACCTGCTCCCTCCTCCGCCTGACTGGCGCTGTGATGGCAGCTCCATCTTCCTGGCTGTGCGTTCAGAGCCTCGCAGTTGTCTTTGATTCCTCTTTCTTCACACTCCACGTGCTGAGTCCCTAGGCACTGCCGCCAGTCAAAGCAGACAAAACCCAAGCCGCCCTCACCTTCACCCTGCCGCGCTGGGCCAAGCCTGGGACATTATCATTTCCCCTCCTCTCCCGCCTTTCCGGCTTTGCGTGTCGCCGCCTGGTTTCTCCTGGTTTCCTGAGGCAGCTGTAAGAAAGTGCCACAGACCGCGTGGCTTAAAACAACAGAGGTTTATTCTCAAAGATCTGTAGACAAGGTCTCTCACTGTCACCCAGGCTGGGGTACAGTGTCATTATTATAGCTCACTGTCACCTCAAACTCCTGGGCTTAAGTGATCCTCCTTCCTCAGCCTCCCGAGTAGCTAGGACTACAGACATGTGCCACCATACCTGGCTAATTGTGTTTTTTTGTAGAGATGGGGGTCTCACTATTTTGCCCAGGCTGTTCTTGAACTCCTGGCCTCAAGTGATGATCCTCCTTCCTCAGTGAGCCCGACTCTTCTCATAAGGACATCAGTAATGTTGGATTAAGGGCCCATCCTACTCCAGTATAACCTTGTCTTAAATTGTATATATATATATATTTTTTTTTTTTTTTTTTGAAGCAAAGTCTTGCTCTGTCGCCCAGGCTGGAGTGCAATGGCGTGATCTTGGCTTACTGCAACCTCCGCCTCCCAGGTTCAAGCAGTTCTGCCTCACCCTCCTGAGTAGCTGGGATTACAGGTGTGAGCCATCACGCCGGGCTAATTTTTGTAGTTTCAGTAGAGCTGAGGTTTCATTATGTTGGCCAGGCTGATCTCGAAATTCTGACCTCGTGATCCGCCTGCCTCGGCCTCCCAAAGGCAAGCAAGTCCCTTTGGAAGTAAAGAATCTTTATGCTAATCTTTATCCTAAAGTGCCGGGATTATAGGCGTTAGCCGCCGCGCCTGGTCTAAATTACATCTTATTTACATCTGCAGAGACCCTGTTTACAAACAAGGTCACATTCATAGGTACCCAGAGGTTAGGACTTCAACATATTTTTTGGGGAGACACAATTCAGGCCACAACACTGCCTTGTAACCAGGGCAACAGAATGATAGTTTTAAGACTGAAGTTGGATATTTTCATTTCTCTGCTCAAAACCTTTCACGAGGTGAACTCGGAGCACTCGAAGACTCCAGTGACCTTCGGGCTCTGTTACCTCTTAGAGCTCCTGCCTGTCCTCGAGCTGGGCAGTGCTGGCCTCCCAGCCGCATTAGCTCCCTCTCTCAGCCGTTGAGTGTTTCACGGTGAGGTTTGTCTGCTTGCCCAGGGTGAGCGTCTGTTTCTCTAGCTCCTGATGCACCGCTCTCTAAGTCCCTGTGGAATGAATGAGTGAGGCCCCCTCAGCGAGACCCTTCTGAAGCCAGTGAGGCAGTGATGACTGAGGGTGCTGGGGGCAGGAAGTCATGGGTGAGCCTCTTAGCTGTGCACAGCGGCACCTGGGAAGGCCTTGGGAAGGAGATGGCATCTGGATTCCTTTCTTGCTTTTCTTTTCCTTTTCCTTTTTTCTTTTTTTCTTTCCTGGAGGGTCCTGGCAGTGGACCTTTGAGCAGGCGGCAGCGGAAGAGGCCTGGGGGACCAGGGGTGATGGGTGGGGCTGTGTGCTCTGTGCCACCTCGCATTCTCTCTTTATCCCAAGGCATAGTGGGCAGGGCTTTGGGCACTGGTCAGATCTGGTGTCGCTGCCTTGTGCCACTTTGTGCAGTGCTGGTTTGGGCTGGTAAGTTTGGAAGAAGTAGGCTCCTCCTGTGGGTGGTTTTGGTCACCCGACCCCATGGTGGTCACAGCTCCCAGTGAGGTATATTTTCTCATCTGGAAAGTGCCCCTCCAGCAAAGCCAGGCAGGAAAAGGAACAGGGGATTGATTGAGTTACCTGACTTGTCAGAAGTCCAGTCCCTCTCACTGGCCGCAGTGTGCCTGGGTGTTCTCTCCAGGGGCAGAGAGCCGAGCCAGCTGGGGAAAAGAGGTGTAGGCATTAGCTTAAGGCAGGAAGCCCAAGGTTCCTGTGACCCGTGGGGCGGCCCTCCATCTACTGTCCACCTGTGACCCGTGGGCCAGCCCTCCATCTACCGTCCATGCAGGTAGACTCTGTGGAGCTCTTGTACCTTGGTGGCAGGGCTGAGCAGTTGTAATAGAGACTTTGTAATCCATAAAGCCTGAACTAGTTACTATCTGGTCCCTCTCAGGAATTTTGCCAGCCCACACGTGGAGAATGGCACCAGACGGTCTGTGAGGTCTCTTCCCTCCAGCTTCCCTAAACTCCCACATGTGAGACTGTAGAGAACAGACACCATGCAACCCGGAGCTGGCTGACCTTGGGTTGAGCAGGGATTTTTGGTGCCCAGAGAGGCTGCAGGACTAGTGACACTGAGTCCTACCAGCTTGAGGGAAGCTGGCCTGGGACCTGGGCCCGTGCCTGCTCAGGGATTCTTGGACCCCCCGCCCGGCCTCTAGGAGTGGAAGGTGGTGCTTCAGCTGCAGCAGAACTCCCTGGGCATCTGCTGGGAGACCACAGTCCTAGTGTGATGTCGGAAGTAATGAACTATTAAGGGTGACACGATGGGGCTTTACATTTAACTTTTGGTAGAAAAAGGCCACCCTGGGTAAGGTAGATTTTCTTTTTTCTAGAAGGTTTAACTGTACATACTATTACCATGCAGCTAAATGTTGAACTTGAGGAATCTGTAAACAGCAGGCTCATTAAGATATTTTTGTATCGTTTTTAGTGAAGAAGCATACAGTAAATGCTTTCATTCTTCTCCTGTGTTTTTTGATCTCCTGCCTTTTATTGTCTTTTGTGGAAGTGGCTTTGAACCTTTAGGAGATGAGCAGCGCCTGTGGTCTCTGCCCTGCCATACTGTCTGGCACACAGTAGCTGTTTGTTCAGTTAACTTGTCCCCACCAGGACAGTTGGGGTGGCAGGGGAACCAAACCCCAAAGTCTCTGTACCTCTAAAAACCTTGCCACTTTCCAAGATTCTCAGACCTCTGTAGCCAGGCTGCTTCTCCTAGAAATCTGCTATTTTGATAAAAGCAATTTTGGCCATATTACCAATAAGTGTTTTTTTTTTCCCCCTTTGGAAGCTAGACCTTCTTACTTTATTTTTTTATTATTATTTTTAATAAAAATGTAGAGACAGATCTTACTTCATTGTCCAGGCTGGTCTCAAACTCCTGGTCTCAAGCAGTCCTCCCTCCACAGGCTCCCAAAGTGCTGGGATTCTGGGACTAGCTAGACATTGTTAATGGTGAGAGATTACTCCCAAAGTAGTTGGGAGCAGTTACTCCCACATCGCCGGAGGGCCCATTTGTTGATCTGAGAATCATTTGTACTGCTTGTTTCACCTTACTGCTTCTTGTCTGAAATGAGGTTGGCCAAGCATGTTCAGAAGTTATTTTCCCTATTTAGATGCTGGTGGCTGGTGCCCTTTGTATCAAAGTCACAAGGCACTCGCTGACCCTGAGGAGCCCACAGGGGCTGGAGCAGCATGCTCCCTCACAGGCTGAGATGAGGAGATTAGGCATCCTGCCTCTGAGCCAGCTGCTGTGGGGCACGAGGCACCAGTGCACAGGTGCCCCGACTGTGAGTCACTTTCTTCTTGCTGTAGCCTTAATGATCTTGTTTGCTTCCCTTTTGGTTGTGGTGTTGCCCTTCAGCATGCTTTGGAGTTTGAGACACTAAAACGAGCCTTTCGTGTGAAACTGGTCCTAGAACTTAGTAGCACTGTGGTTCCAGCTTCATCTTTCCCAACTCCGCTGACCTCATATGCGACATGGGGTCCACCTACTTGGTTGTTGACGGACGCCACCCCTCTTTCCCTCGGCACCTGTGCCTGTCCTCTCTGAACCTGCCACTGCCATCGTCGTGAAGAATCAGAAGCCCGGAAGCCAGAAGTGTGGCTGGCCTGCGGGGGGTGGAGAAGCTGCAGTGTGCCCTTTGCTTTTCTTTTAGGACTCCATCCCCGTGTCTACCTCCCTCCTTGGAGACACTTCCGACACGACCTCTACTGGCCTTGCCCAGCGCCTAGGTATGTACCCACAGCTGGCGCTGCATGGCCAGCCAGGTGGGGCCCACTCTTTAATGGAACCATGAAGCAAGTCCCTTCGGAAGTAAAGCATCTTTATGCTAAGAACCATCACCTCATTGCTGCTGGGAAGCACAGACCTTTGCACGTTGGGTCTTATTTAAGGGGCACATTCCATGCTCGCCTGTCATCACCACCGTCCCAGGGCTGGCCTGTTCCCAAAGGACTCCCACCTCGTCCTTGGGTGTGTCCTTGAGTCCATGAGCTGATTTAGTTGCCTTCCGTAAGTGCATCACCACCTCCTGGGAGGAGAGCATGAGAAGTGCCCACAGCCCCTGTGGGTGGTGGCTCAAGGTAGCCTCCCGGGCCTTAGGAGGAGTCAGTGCAGCTGGTGGAGCAGGTGTCACCTCTGTGCAGGAAGGACTGTCCTCACTCAGTGTGATACCGTTCAGGGCTCGGAGGGAAGACTGGCCTGGCCTGTGAGTGTGGCGTAGAGTGGGGATTAAGCAAAGGTCATGAGGCTGAATGCTCCACTCTTCCCACACCCCAACACACTTCCTGTGGGCCAGGTAAGGCTTCCATGTGCTCTGCGACCCCCAGCCCCAGTGCCTGTGGCCAGTGTGCACAGGATGCCTGTCTCCTGCCCAGGCCTGGCGTTCTCCAGTAGGCCCAGCTGCTTCTGCTCTGGAGTCTTCTCTGTGTCTCAGGCACAGGACCTGGTACCTGACAAGCAGGAACCTCTGTGTCAGTCACACTGAGGCAAATGCACACGAATAGCATGGCACCTGGCCCAGGGGGAAGGCAGGGCAGGGTGGAGTGTCACCAGCAGGCCCATGACAGTATGTGGATAGGACAGAGGTCAGGGAGGGCACAGGTCAGCATTTCAGGAACTCGCAGTATTCTTTTTCCCTCCCTTGGAGGTGGGGACCTGACTTGTAAGTTAATTTGGTAATTTTTAACTAGGAAGTAAATTTAAAATTTACAGAAAAGTTGCAAAGAAGATAGAATTCCTGCTTAGCTTTTGCCCCAATTTCCCACTTGCCACCCTTCCCTCTTTGTGTTTGTATCTTTTTTTTTCTGAGCCACATGAAAGTAAAGCTGCCTTTTGTGTCTGTGTCACTCTGTGTGTGTGACTGTGTAAGGGGTAGCACACTTACATGGAACAGGTTACTGCGTGTGGGAGAAGGCTCAGGAAGGTATTCATATTTATACAGACGGAAAGCTGGGTGGGGTTGCGGACACACTCCCATAGAGAAGGTGGTGTGAGCTTGTCTGGCAGGCCGTGAATAACTTTCATATCAATAAGGTAAATTAGTCTCCAGAATATTTGCGAGATGGAGGCCTAGTATCTATATGCAAAAAAGAGGGGTTCTCAGTATCTCGACTGTCTCAACAAGTCACGGGTGTGCCGTGGCTTCCGGCGTCTCTTAAGGGAATGGTGCTGCAGAGCTCGGACCAAGAAGGTTTTCCAGCAAAGTCCCATGCTTTGCCAGTTGCCTTGAGCCTGGGTCTGGGCCCTCAAGTTGAAAATGCACTATAATGAAAAGGGAGAGGTGTCCTGAATCAGTATCTTATATGAGAGATGAAAGCAGGTAGGGAAAGAGAAGGCCTGGGGGGTTCTCAGTAGCTCTGGAAGCATCGCAGGAGTTGGTGTGGCCAAGGGGACCCAACCTCCTATGGCCCTGGAGGGGCACAGCTTGGGTCTGAGGGGCTCAGTGCCTCCAGACACAGCGTTGTTCCTCAGAAATCCTGTCTCTGCAGTTAGAACAGTTGGAATACCAGGGGGGCCCCCTTAGGGTAAAGGGGGATGTTCCTGCCCCTGGGATATAGGGCAGGGTGTGACTTACAGGCTCCTCCTAGGCAGCCTTGGTGAGCCCCAGCTTCCTACCACACTGCCTGCCTTTAGATCACCCTCTACATGAGTGGTCCCAGCCTGCCTAACACAGCTAGGAAAGGATGAGGTTGGTCCCTAATGGTGGGGGAAGCCTAAGAGGCTTCCTCACTCCCCGCAGGGCTGAGCAGATAACTGGGCACAACTCTCCGCCTCGGGGGCACACTGCACCCAGCACACTGGTGGGAGGCTCTGTGCTAAGTACTGTAAGCTGTTCTTTAAACACCAGCTCTTGGAATAACCGAACAGCTGCCTTTGTCCGGACACATTCCTTTTTTTTTTTTTTTAATAAAAAAACAGCTTTACCGAGACGTAAACACATGTCATACAATTCAGCAGCTGTCCTCAGGCAGAGGCTGTGCTTGCCGCCGCCTTGCTTTTTCATAGGTGTGTTGGCTGCTTTGTAAGGACAGTCAGTGAGTTAATACCCAAGACCTTTCCAGCCCTAAAAATCACGCAGCCTTGTACAGCGGAAAAACAGGCTTTTGGGGTCCTGGGCTCTCCCTCTCCTCAATTTCCAAACAAAGCTGGGAGAGGTTTCCAGGCCACGGTGGGGCCTGGGCCTGCGCCTGCACCTGCGCCCCTGAGCCACACTGCCTCTCAGGGTTCTTGGTGGGACCATAGCTCAGATGGCAGCAACTGAAAGGACAGAACTGCTGCCCAGATGAGATCCCATGACGTGTGTTCTAAATCGGCCTTTAGTAATGGTGCAGGTGGCCTGGTGCCCTCAGCCTCACCGCACCACCCTTTTGCCTTTTGGTGATGAGGCTAAGTACATGCTTGCCATATGTTGAGGTGGGGGTGGGTCAGTGCCTCTCCAGGGGTGAGTAGTTCTGCACTGGCCCTGCGTATGGGTGAGGCTAAAGGAGGAGGCCGCGCAGTGGGGCAGGCAACATCCAACTGCTTTAGCCTTTTTGCCCACGTATTTTCAGGATATTGGCTTTCAGATTCCAGGTGTATGACTCTGCTTGATTTTTGCAGTTGGCCCAATGTGCACCTCAGCCATTTTCTATTGATTCTGTAGAAGGGGACTAAAACTTACATTCAGTAGAAAATTACGTGTGTGTCCATATGCCTATCTGTGCACACACACACAAATATATTTGTGTGTATACACATATATGCAAATGCATGGAAACGTAGGAGGGAGGGAAGTGGAACTGGTTGGGGTGGGGTGGTGCTGAAGGAGAACTTTAATATTTTATTTTAAATACTTATTTTTTTTTGAGACGGAGTCTTGCTCTATTGCCCAGGCTGGAGTGCAGTGGCGCGATCTTGGCTCACTGCAAGCTCCGCCTCCCGGGTTCACGCCATTCTCCTGCCTCAGCCTCCCGAGTAGCTGGGACTACAGGCGCCCGCCACCATGCCCGGCTAATTTTTTGTATTTTTAGTAGAGACGGGGTTTCAACGTGTTAGCCAGGATGGTCTCGATCTCCTGACCTTATGATCCACCCGTCTCGGCCTCCCAAAGTGCTGGGATTATGGGCGTGAGCCACCGCTCCCGGCCATTTTTTGTGTTTAAATTTTTTTTTTTTTTTTTAAATCAAAACACCAGAAACCCCTCTGTGTAGGGCAGAGGTTCTTAAGCAGTGCGGGGCACCTGCAGGATCTGTTCCAGCAGACAGCTGGCCCCAAATCCTGGCTTTCTGGGTCAGGAGGGCTGGGTGGGGCCCAGCAGCTGCCTCTCGAACAAGTTCCAGGGAGGCTGCTGAGGTGGGGCCTGCCCTTCAGAACCCTGGGTCTGGTGGAGAGACTGGGAGAGGCCTGAGTGACTCGTCTGCATTTGCAGCACCTGTCTGAAGAGAGGCATGGAGATTAGAGCTTTCTTTTCTCCCTACAACCCCATCCTCTTTCTGAGCATTTCCCAGCTGCACGTGGCTGTGAGGAACACGGGGCCTGCAGTATTTCAGGAGTGGCTGTATCAATGTGTTTTCTCTTTTTAGCCAGGAAGACCAACAAACAGGTGTTTGTCAGCTATAACCTTCAGAACACAGACAGTAACTTCGCATTACTTGTAGAAAACAGGATCAAGGAAGAGATGGAGGCTTTCCCCGAAAAGTTCTAGCTGAGTGGCAGAAGTGAGAATTTGTAAACTTATGTACAATGTACGTGTAAATAAATGGATTGAATTTCAGTTTGTCATCAGGCCGCGCTCCCGTTTTGTTTTTAAGGGGTTAATCTTTTGAGCTTCCTTCTCAGCAGTGTGTGGGCCAAAAGGCTCATACTGACCCACCTGGTGAAGGAGAGGCAAAGTGGGCAGTATATACTTCCTCATTTGGCTGTGAGTGATAGAGGGATGAAATGGGATTTTTGTTGGGATTGAAGACTGTAATCTAAGAGTTTCAATCAGACATGACTGTGACGTGCATCCTCAATTAGAATTAAAGTGATGTATAAATATGCTTTAGATTTGTGTGTGCATTCCTCAGAATTCTGCCTTGTGAATTGATGCATTTATCTCCTCATTGCAGTGAAACCCCAGGGCACGTCTCTTCTTGCTGTGTTCTCCCTAAACCCCTCCTCTGGGCACTCCTTTTTTGCTGTGTTCTCTCTTGGGCCTACATTTGAGCACCTCCCTACACTGCCCCATTACTGCATTTGCGGTCTTGTGAAGTCTGACTTCTCTAGGCTTTGTCTCCTCATCTATAAAGTTGGAGTAATCCCCACCTTGGTGGGTTCTTTTTAGGATTAAGCACGTAGGTAGAAATGCTTTGCAAACTATAAGTGCCGTGGCACTTAGATGTCAATTATAGTTTGATTTCCTTCCTTTTTATGGATTCAGAGGCTTCAGGTCCTTCTTTCTCTTCCTGTTATTTCATCGTCTTCCCTTCTCCCCTCTCTTCTATCCCAAATCCAGAGTACCTCAGGTACCTGCTTTGGTCATTTGTACTCTTTAGCGTTTAATCTTTAATCCCACCACTTGGAGTGGGTTCCAGTCTTGGGCCTTCTCCAGAGGTTCAGATGGTCTGGGGCCCAGGCTTTGGCAGGATTGAAAGCTCCCCTGGTGCCTCCGTGCAGGCAAGGTTGAGGACCACTGGCAAAGAACTTTCTAATCTTTGGGGTCCGTCTGAACCCTTTTTGTTCATCCAGAGGCAAAAGTCTTGCACTGAGCCAGCAGCAGGCAAGTGAAGGTAGTGACCCTGGCCAGGATGGAAAGGCACGTCGGAGGAGTGAGTCTGTAGTTCCGGGTGCTTCCCTCCTTTGCAGACTTCCCGTGCTAACCTCGAGGCCCCGGCCAGCCTCGTCGCAGCTTGCAAAGCTGAGTGGACACCTCTCTAGAAATATAATAGCGAGTGACACAAAATCAGGGCTATGGAGAGAAGAGTTTGGTATAAATACTTTATTAAAGAAATATTGTCATTTTCGTTAAAAAATACATTAGAGAAGAGAGTTTTGGGTTACCAGTCTTTCCTCACAGAATCACAGTGTAAGATATTCATTTCTTGACGTCTCTAGGAACCTTCAGGCCACGGATCAGCAGAACATACACGAACAAGGGAAAAAAATTCCTCTTAATTTTACTGATGGCCCCCGTCTCTCAGGTGGTCTGAGAGTGGCACTTGGTAAACAGTGTGTGTTTAATCCAGCCTCTGCCTCTGACTACCTTTAAGACCAGGACTCGAAGCAGAGTGAGAGGCCTCCCTCCACCCACCTCGGGGCGAGTGAAGACACAGCTTACAGAGGCGTTCAAAGTAGTGACGCAGTGAGGTCTGAATGAACACGGAGGATTTTATTACTCACCATTAATGGTAGTGAAATGCCCTTCGGTGGATACCATCAGGTGAGGTAGGGAAGACATTCCAGAGGAAATCTGTTAATGGGGCAACGTTTTTATTTCTGTACATTTACATACAAATTTTCCCCAAAGGTACAACAGATGCGACACCATGCAGACACGCAGCTGTGAACGACAGTTCAGAACTCAGCGTAAGCTTGTGCTATGAACGAGCACCGTCAGAGAATTCCCACCCACACGTACAGAAACACAGTTTTTATATTACAACCTCAAGGACAGGGAGGGAAGTGTTCGCCGCTAGACATGACACACCATACTGCTTTTCCAAAACACACGGGACATGAAAGCGAGGTGGTGCCTTCTAGACGAGAGGACAGCTGTAGTGTGGACCTCCCCCGCACATGCGATACCTCGGGCCGGGCGGTGTGACCTCACAGGCCCACTTATGGCACTTGCAGTTTGGGATTGCTCATTTGGCTCTAGGAAGCGGTGGTGTCTGAGTGTGATACTTCCCTTACGAGGTTTGTTTTTGTTTTCTTTCTGTTCTGTAGCCAAACCAATTTACCAGCCCGTCTTCCAGATGCAGGTGATCTTACTCTCAGTAAACAAAAACATGTAACCTTTTTCCTGTTTCTCTTGGGTGGTAATAATTTTAGGGCATTTGATAAGAGTTTGACTTCAGAAAAAGAACAAAGTGAAGAAATGTTCAGCTCCATCTCAGGTGTTCACATTTGTGCATAACTTTTATTGAAAGGCTGACAGGGTAGGCTAGCGGAACGGAGGGGTGTGTGGAGGAGAGTAGCAGGGGGTGGGAGGGTCAAGTTGAAACAGTGGGTGCCTGCGAAGGGTCTCCCTATTAGCCAGGAAGGGAACAGCACAGAGGGGTTCAAGCGTGACAGACGGTGCTGGGAAGTGGGCAGCCGTAGCAGCCTCCCCTGCTGAGCCCGGCGGGCCCAGATGCGTATCAGGCTTGGGTGGGTCCTGCCACCTTGCTCACTTGGTACCGGATTTCCCGGGGCTGTGCCCACAGGGAAGTGTTGCTGCTCTGGCAACATTTCATAAAGGTGTTGCTCAACAGCTTCAGGTATCCCTAGGCTGAAGCTGCCACCAAACAGGCACCCGGCCTCCTCCTCCTCAGGCTGCCCTGGGAGGAGAGCTGTGGGACCGCCTCGCCGGCTGAGAGCCATTACCTGCCGACCGTCGGCAAGTCAGCCTCACACCCACTGGACTCTGCTCCCAAGAGCCCAGGCTGTTTTCCTCAAAGCTAGCCTCTTTTCCAGTCATCGATGGATTAGTCCTGATGGCTGAAGTGCTGAGCAGTGTCTTCGTTGGACCAGTTTTTTATTGTCATTTGAGGTGGAGATCAGAGATCATGACCAGAAGAGTGTGAGTGCTGTCCCTTGCCACCAACTTCCTAGAGATTTCGGGCAGCACTCTACAGCTTCAATTTCCAAAAAAAAAAAAAAGTTTACACGACCAGTGAGACTGCTCGCAACTTTCATCACTTAGCATATCCTTCCACAACACAGTACAGTAAGTGGACTGCAGGGTGGCCTGGTGCTGAGGGTGATGGGTGCAGACGTACACCTGTCCAGGTGCAGGCTCAGGGGCCTCGCTGGATCCTTCCCACCTTCCCCAACTGCCTACTGGCCTGGCTACTGGATAGGTCCTATTCTGTACATAATGGGGGTTTGTTGACAGGTGGCTTTATAGCAAGTACTCCAAAAAAGGTAAAAGGAATTTCACAAGTTTGGCACGCAAAGGCTGCACAGATCTAAAGAAAGGCCTTTGTAAAGGTGAATGCAAACTAATGTTGAAACATGGAAATGTGACTTTAAAAAAGAGGGAAGGTGAGGAGCTGGACGTGGAGCAAGTGGAGGCAGGGAGAGGCTGGCCAGACAGCCTCCCTTCCTGGGTATCTCAAGATCCCAGGTGTCGGCGTGGTCCAGCCACTGGAAACACGTGGCCAAGAGTCTGCTTGCCCCTTGCTGTGTCTTTACACATCTCCAGGCCCTTACTGATGTGTGGACCGCATGTGGAGGAGACATGAGTGGCGACAGCAAGCAGCAGGCCGGGTGGAAAGCCAGAAGGGGAGAAGGTCAACCCCTTTTCTGCCCTGTGAATTCTAGCAACTGTCGGTTGGAAGTCACTTCATTGTCTCACCCAGGCCCGAGACCACAATTTCCCTGGAAGGACACAGCCCATGGCAAAGACATGCTTCGAGAAGGGATGAGTTGGACAATGCCAGTAAGAAGCCAGGCTGTCCAGAAAAGCTGGTGCCCAAGTTGCTACAAAGTGGTGCCTGCCCTTGCCAAGGAGGCTGTCTCTTAGTCGCCTTGGGTGTCCTACAAGTTTCCTCCGAAAATGCCAAGAGGAAACCTCCACTTTCTGGGGTGAAACGAGGAACACGAAGAGACCCATGGAGGTCGAGGCAGGGGCAGCGTTGAGCTTTGGTGAGTTATTGCTTTCTTTCAATTTGTCTTGATGCCTTCGAGAGGCTGGAGGTCATTTGGACTCACCTATGAGGAATCTCCGCTCCCTGCCCGAAGCCCCACCTCTGTGCTATGCGAGTGACTGCAAGCAGGAAGCTGGCCCAGGAAGGCAGGCGTGAGGGGGCCCAGCTCCTGCGGGTGCTCCCTGGAGTGATGTCTGAGGTGACGGCCATCCAAGCTGGTGATCTTCATGGTGTGTGCTCAAGGTGTGGGTGACGGGCGTGTGTGTGTGGAGGGCAGCCCCCCTTCTGTGGATTTGCCTCTGCCATCTTTTTGAGTTATTTTCTAATGGTTTGTAGCTTAGAAAGTAGCCATGTTTTCAAGTAGTGCCGGCACAAGAGCTGCCTGTGCACGAGGGACTTTTCTGCTGGAGCCAATCTGGGAGAGGAGGAATAAAAACGAGCACATCTCAGGTCTCGACGCATCTGTTAGCTGTGTACTCACAAAGCTGTGGCGATATGACTGCTGCTCAATTAAGATTTCTGGTGAAATGTTTAAGCTTTTTCTCCAAGAGCTTCCAGCATCAAGTACAAAAGGATGATCCTGAAGGAAAGATGAAGCTGGTTTTAACGGCGTCTGTGAGCTGCTTTCCCTGCACACGAACAGAAGCTCTTACCTTACAAACAGAAAGGGAAAAAGGACCTTAAAAAACCATACACAGACTCTAGCAAAAGCCAAATTCATGTACATTTCACTCCGTCTAAAATGCAGTCCCGGAAACGCTCCACGGTCCTCTCCTGCCTCTGCACGCAGGCAGGCAGCCTGGGGGGCTCCTGGGTGCTGCCAGGAGCCGTGTCCCATCTCCCCAGAGGGACCGGCCATGGCCCTGGTCACTGTGGCATCTTCCCAGAGCAACTGCGTCTCGCTGCCCAGGGAGGTGATTCCATTTGTGATCAGTGAGAGGGAGAGGGAATAAAGTGCTTCTCGTAAAAATGACCAAAATAAATACACACATTTAACGGCAGAAAAGAAAGTCTTGAAAGGGTTATTTCCAAAGAGTTTGTCTCCTCCGACCCGCGCTCCTTGGACTTTTGGAAAGACAGGATTTCCCCACACCAGTTGAGAGGCTCAGCTTGGCTGAGGCAGCTTTCCCACCCCTGGCTGCGTGTTCGGTCCCTGGTCTGTAAACCTGTGCCCAAGCTGCCCCAGACCCTGGAGCCCCGGGTTCCGCAGGCCGGGCTACATGGCCTTCATGCCGTTGGCCGTGGCACCCTCGGGCAGTGTGTCACCCGCGGCTGCGGCATCGTGGAGGCCCGAGTAGTCCTTGAGCTCGGCGTTGGTGAGCAGCAGTGGCTGCTCCCCCTTCTTGTGCGGCAGCAGCGGCTGGCGCGTGTAGTGCTCCCCGTTAGAAATGTTCTCAGGCAGGTTCTGGTCCCTGCTCTCGGGCAGCAGGAGGATGCAGATGATGCAGATGAGCGTGCAGCAGGCAAAGATGATGTGGTGCAGGAAGTAGCCTTTCTGGTTGTGCAGCTCGATGATGGGTGCCGTCAGCATGCCGAAGCCCGCGCTGGCCAGCACCAGCCCCAGCCCGCCACACCTGCAGGGGGAGGGAAGCACAGGGATTGCTGCTGTGGGCTAGCGGGCTGGATCCCGGGAAAGCTCGGGGTGGACCAGGAAGCCACCTCTGCAGGGGCCCTGCTGCCCTGGGCACTGCCCAGTATACCCCGACCTCACACGTCCCATGTCACCAGCACCCTGGCTGTGTCTGTACAAGGCCACTCTACGGCAGTGACTGTTTTTCCTCATCAAATCAAAAGCTTTTACTTAATTTATCTTTTTCTTTAATGTTTCCTATTTTTATTGTTTTTTCAGGGCTGGGGACCATGAGAACTTTATTTTGAAAGGCAGCCTTATATAATACTACTGTAAATGGGAAGCTGATATTACTTGCCATAAGTAGTATACAAGGAAAAACAAAAGGGATTGAAATTATGCCATTTCCTGAAGGCCTGGGGGATTACCAAGGGTTAAAGAGGGTACTAAGGACATACCAACACGAACAGAGACTTTCTCTTTGTCATAACTGGAGAGACTGCAAGATACTTTAAAAGAGTAGTTTCCTCACTGTGAGTTGATGGCCCACGTGTCTCCTGAAATTGCTCACATACCACCATTGGAAACGGTCCCATCTCTGAGGATTGTGCCTGAAGGGTCCCCCAAATGAAGCTGTGCACTGACAGAGAGGAACTCACTGCAGCTCTGAGCTCAGGATAACCAAAGTCCAGAAGGCAAGCCATTGATTTCCACTCCCTGCCTTGTACGGGAGCAGCCAAGAGTCCCAGGGATTAGTAGATACGCAAAACTTACAGAACCCCTATCCCTCAAACCTCTCCACTTTGACCTAAAAACACATTACTGGGACAAAGGTGTTCTGTGGCCCCTGAGAAAGCAGTGCTGTACCAGGCTGCAGTGGGACCGTGGCGCTCAGGTGTCAGGCCAGGCTAGAGAGGGCTGCCTGGTCCCCAGTTCTGGGGCCTCATTGAAGGAGGTAGGCAGAGGTGGCCTTGTCTCAAGGAAGAGGGAGTGGAGTTGTGTGCCTCGCTCCACAGCAGCAGGTAGACTGGTCCTTTGGTTTGGGGAAGCTTTCTAATGGGCTGCTCGTTAGGCACCCCCTTGAAGTGAAGAGGGCTGTATCCTTTGAACTGCTGAGGCTGAGTGGGCTGAAAGGGAGGTCCCTGCAACAGGTAGGAGGCAGGTAGATAACTCCAGCTCTTGACTAGTCTGTGGTTCTCTTGGTTGGCACTATAGGTAGCTCCTAACTCACCAAAAGACTGTCCTACAAGGTCACAAGATAAAAGATCAACATACAAAAGTCAATTATATGTCTACGTGCTAGCAACACCCAAAAATGAAAATGCCATTCACAATAACATCCAATGAATAAAATGTTTAGAAATAAATAACAAAGGAATGCAAGACTTGTATGCTGAAAAAGATAAAACATTGCTGAAAATTAAAAGATAAAAATAAATGGAGTGACATTCCATGTTCATGAATTAGAAGACTAAATATTATAAAGATGGTAATTTTTCCCAAATTGATCTATACATTCCACATAATCCCTATCAAAATTCCAGGTGACTTTTTTTTTTTTTCAGAAAACAGCCAATTCTAAAATTTATATGGAAATGCAAAAGACTCAGAGTAGTCAAAAACAATTTTGGAAAAGAACAAAGAAGGCTTGCCTTCCCAGTTTCAAAACTATAAAGCCATACGGCTTAAGGCAGTGTGGTGTTGGTGTATATATCAATAGATCAATGGAACAGAACTGGGAGTTCAGAAACTAACCTTCACATTTATGGTCAACTGACTGTAGATGGAGGCAAATCCAGTGAGGGGGAAGGGATAGTTTTTTCAACAGGTGGTGCTGGGACAACAGGATATTCATGTGCAAAAGAATGATGTTGGACCCTTCACATCATGTAAAAAAATGAACTCAAAATGGATAATAAAATCTAAGTGCTTAACTTAGCTCAAACTATAACGCTTCTAGAAGAAAACAAGAGAAAAGCTTTATGACGTTGGGTTAGGCAAAGATTTCTTACACATAACATCAAAAGTAGGATCCATAAAAGAAAAAGCTGATCAATTGGACTTCATTAGGATTAAAAACTCCTACCCTTCAAAAGATACATGTTTAAGAAAAAAAGACCATAGACTGGGAGAAAATATTCGTGAAGCATATATCAGATAAAGGACTTGTAACTAGAATATATAAAGAACTTTTTTTTGAGAGTCTCACTGTCGCACAGGCTGGAGTGTAGTGGCATGATCTCGGCTCACTGCAAGCTCTGCCTCCCAGGTTCATGTCATTCTCCTGCCTCAGCCTCCTGAGTAGCTGGGACTATAGGCGCGTGCCACCATGCCCAGCTAATTTTTTGTATTTTTAGTAGAGTCGGGGTTTCGCTGTGTTAGCCAGGGTGGTCTTGATCTCCTAACCTCGTGATCCACCCGCCTTGGCCTCCCAAAGTGTTGGGATTACAGGCGTGAGCCACCACGCCACTCTTATAACTCAAAAAGAAGACAGATAATCCAGTAAAAAGATGGGCAGGCCAGACACAGTGGCTCATGCCCAAAGAGGCTTGGGCAAAGGTGACCTGGGCAGGGAGGATGGGAGTCCCAGGGTTCCCAGGTGGCCCTCATAAACCAGATATACACAGGTCTATGCTAATAACCCCAGGAAGATTCACAGATTTGGAGCCTTTTTCTCAGAATGCAATGGAAGAATGGTGATTGTGTGTGTGTGTGTGTGTTGGGGGCTTTTGTCCTGTAACAAAATAAGAGAAGACACTTTGCTCTGCCTTTTCTCCCTCTAATGTAGAAATGACTGCCTCTCTGTTGGTTGCAGTCCACCCATCTGCATCCACCATGGGCACAGGGCTTGGGGGCACAAGGGCAGCCTTGCCAGGCTTGCAGCCCTAGGGGACAAAGACTCGCTGGATTCTTCCCTTTCCCAGCTCCTTCCTGTCCAGCCCATGACCAAGTCCTCAGGGCCTCCACTCCAGGCCGCCTGGGTCTGCGCTCCTCCCTGGCGCATCTTCTGCACCCCCTAGACTTTGTTTCCTCACCATTGCCAAACCGATTTTCCTAGAACACAGAGCTAATCATATCACCTGGCTGCTCAGAGTCCTCCAATGGCTCCCTCCTGCCTGCAAGGTGATGCACAGGTCCTGGGGGCCCCACCTCTTCCTCCTGTCCTCTGCCTTTCAGTCCCAATACTCATGGCACCGGGGTCCCTCAGCTCTGTCTGGTGCTCGCTCTGTGAGGTTGGCCTATGCTGGCTCAGCCGAGCTCCCACAGGCTACCTGGGTAGGGCGCCGTCTGTGCATTTCTCGAGGAAGGAGATGCCTTCTGGTACAGGGTCTTCGTTAATGTTTATTCCATTAGATGATTGTCAAGACTGGGGCATCAGCCATTAGCCTCCAAGCCTTGAGTAAACCCACATAAAAAGAGCCAGCCCAAAGTGAGCTACAGAACAGACTTTTGCTGCCACAAAGGTGCGAGTGCCGTGGCTGGGAGCAGGAGTTCTGGAGCCCATGAGCCTGGGCTAGAATCCTGGCCCCCGCCCACCAGCTTCACTTCCCGAAGCCTCGGTCTGCATCTATAAAACAGGGATGAGAAAAGCTCCAATGTCCAAGTGCAGTGGAGGTTAAAGCACGAATGTGACTAGCATGGGGACAGGAAGATCCGTGGCTTGATTGGTTCCAGGTGGCATCCATTGAGTGCCGGGAAGGGGCCACCCAAGTCTTTCAGGGTCTAGGGGGCAGCTGGGTGTAGGAGGAACCAGAGCTGGAGAGGTTCAAGAACTGGGAGGCGAACAGGATGAGCCTCTCCCATGGGCCTAAAGCCTCCAGGCATGACATGGAGTCCTAAAAGTTGGCAGAGGGGGCTGTGCCACTGGGACCCTTCTCCTCCACCCTGGCCTTCCTCTCGGTGAGGCACCAAGCTCTGCAAACACTGCCTCCTCAAGCTGCTTCACACCCGCCCACCCTCACCCTTCCAGGAACCTCTGCTCCTGCTCCCCGAGCCCTAGGAATCCAGCCTCACCTCCTCCCGCCGCAGTGCACTTGCCAAACACGCATCGCCTCTAGAGCCACTATGTGCGGGCTCCAGGCCACATCCTGGGAATCCCGTCCCAGCCACCCTTCTGAGTCCAGACTGAGCAGGCTCTCTTGGGCACTTCCCCTGCATCCTCAGGACACTTGTGTAGCCCGAAGACACATTCGCATTGCGTGTCTGTGTGTCTCTAATAGACACCAGATGTTTCCAGGGCAGGACCAGGCTCCACTCCGTGTGCTGTCCCCAGCACCTGCCCAGCCACTGAGACCTGGCTGGCACCTGGGCATCTACTCAGTGCTATAGTCGGATTTCTAGACTGGCCCCAGTAATTCCCACCCTTGTGCCTTGAGTGTGCGCTGGCCCTCAAGGTACAAGGTACAAATAACGTACTTTTTAGCAATCAAATTTACGGCCAGGATAGTGAGATGTTCCTTCCACAACAAGGTTCCAAAAGGCAGATTCTAGCAGACTCTTGCTAGCTTTGACGAAGCGAGCTGCCTTGTGACTGTGGTCCCTATGGCCAACGGCCAGCAAGGAGCTGAGGCTGCCAGCCCCACAGCCCGTGAGGAAACAGCCTACCAGTGCCTGACTTGGTTTAGTGGTGGGCCCTACCCACTGATGGTAGCCTCTGAGAGACCTGGAGCAGAGGACCCAGCCAGGCCGTGCCCAGACTCTGGAGCCATGGAAACCATAAGATAGTAGATGCATGCTACTTCAGGCCCCTGTTTTGGAGCGATTGGTTATGCAGCAATAGAAAACCAAGATACTCGGTGAGTGACAGATTCCCCTGCCTTAGCCACGGAGGGAGACTGACAGCCACCTCTCATGCAGGCTGTGACAGGCATCAGCACTTCATATTAGAAAGCCCTTCCCAGGGAGAGGCTGAAAGAGTTGCAGGAATAGCCACACCACTGTGCTTCTGGGCCTGAAGACGATATGGATGAGGAAGAGCAAGAATTTGGGGGATGTCTCCCAGATACTCAAACTCCTCCCAGGCTGAGGGTCCCAGACCACCGTTCAAAGACACTCTGCATCTTTCTGTCACTATTTGTTCATGTGCCTGTCACCTTACTAGTCTCTGAGCCCTTCAAGGGCAAGAATTATTTTCTAGGACATCAACAGGCACGTGCTGTTTGTGCTTAATAAATACCGGATGCTTGCGGATCACACGGGCTTCCTGGATAGGAAGGTCAGCTCACCCAGGTGAATGGGACAGGTTAAATAGAGACAACCACGGAAATGAGCAATAAGACCAAATCCTTCTGTAAGATGAAGACTGAACACCTAAAATAGCCAATTAAGTCTTTCTGGTAGACCTGGCTCTTTCAGGAAGCCACAGGGCATATCAGATGCTAGGGATAATGGACATGATTTTAATGGGGACAGCATTTTCTCGGAAACCTCCCAGGTTTCTGCCTGACCTTCCCGGCACTAAATGTGGACGGCACTGACAAGCAGTGAGAGGACTCCCCTTACTCACACGGGAGTCACATACAGGAGGGCAGAGTACAGACCCCCAGGAGGGGTGGGCAGAGGGCCACTGTTAAAGGGCAAACTGCATGGAACAAAAGCCTTGCATTGTGCCTGGTGAACCACATCATACTGATCTATCTTGTTAACTGTGCCAAATAAAATGAAATATATTTAATTTGCAGATCATTAGAAAAATGTCTATGTATATGTATATACATAATATGCAACAAATGTACACATGCATATATAATATGGAATATATCTTTTTATTTTTTTCTGTGGGAGCAATTCTCTGGTTTTCTATCAAAGATTCCTTGATATGGCCGGGCATGGTGGCTCATGTGCCTGTAATCCCAGCAATTTGGGAGGCCGAGATGGGCAGATCACGAGGTCAGGAGATCGAGACCACTGTGGCCAACATGGTGAAACCCCGTCTCTACTAAAAATACAAAAATTAGTTGGGTGTGGTGGCGCGTGCACGTAATCCCAGCTGCTTGGGAGGCTGAGGCAGGAGAATCACTTGAACCAGGGAGTTGGAGGTTGCAGTGAGCCGAGATCACGCGACTGCACTCCAGCCTGGCAACAGAGCAAGGCTCCGTCTCAAAAAAAAAAAAAAAAAAAAAAAAAAATCCTTGACATCATTCAGTACGATTAGGAAAAATTTTGGCAGAAGTTGGTATGCCATTTTTGGCTTTGTTTTTTTTTCTCTCTTGAAATCTCAGAGAAAGAGATTGTTACATCCTTGGTTTTAAGGTGTTGGGTTCCTTTCCTGCCCCTGAAATGTGGGCTCTGCCAGTGCCTTTTCTGCTTTTCTCTGGGTTGTCACTAGAGGGCAGCATACGCCCGTGTTTAGAAGTCAGAGCTGCTTGATTTACGGACAGAGAACCGAGGGCGCACACTGCCTCCTTGGGCTTTAGGAGCACAAAATTGTAATACCCACGGGATATCTTTATTTTACTAGCAATAGGATCTCAATAAGGTAGGAAAACTGATATGCAGGCCGACTTCTTACTAGAAATGGCAAACTTCATTGAATTAAGGATTCCAGAATCAAATTGCTGTTAGCCATGTGAACGTTACCATCTCACATTGAAACACCCGAGGCGAGGCTCCTGTTCTAGCTCCTCTTTTATATTACTTAATGTGACTTGACTAAATTTCTGTGAAGTTGAGGATAAGCAAATATTTGTACCATTTTTTATAGAAATAAATACAACTGCTGAAGATGCCCAGCGAAGAAGAAGAATATGAACTGTCCTGTGCTGAGCCCAGGCCCTTTGCACATGGCCTCCATTCTCCACCCCCGCCTAACAAGGTGCCTGTAGTCAGTTTTGTTTTAAGACAAGGACACTAAAGCCGGCCGAGGGACCCACCCAAGGCCACACAGGGAGGCGGCCTCAGGATCATGGGCAGCTCCGTCTGGTTCCTTCCCAGGCTCCGGGCCATATCATCAGCACCCTCCCCTCATCCTGCCCCGCTGCTCATCGCTCGCACGCCACAGGCGCTGCCGGCATGGGACGCATGCTGGCTTCCTGTCTGCTACTCAGTACTTGTTTTCAGATGTGACATTTTTAAGACACAACTTTTTTTTTTTTTTTTTTTTTTTGAGATGGAGTCTCGCTCTGTCGCCCAGGCTGGAGTGCAGTGGCGCGATCTCGGCTCACTGTAAGCTCCGCCTCCTGGGTTCACGCCATTCTCCTGCCTCAGCCTCCTGAGTAGCTGGGACTACAGGCGCCCGCCACCACGCCCGGCTAATTTTTTTTGTATTTTTAGTAGAGACGGGGTTTCATCGTGTTAGCCAGATCCTCTCGATCTCCTGACCTCGTGATCTGCCCGCCTCAGCCTCCCAAAGTGCTGGGATTACAGGCGTGAGCCACCGTGCCCGGCCTTTAAGATACAACTTTTTAAAGAAGTTGAACAGACTCTGATACTCCCTTAACCCCAGGTCATCCTGGCCCTCGGTGCCTATTCTTGAGGCAGCATTAGAGCGGAAGACAGATGTCAGGGAGTCGTCAGTCAGGGAGTGTCTCAGGGAGGCCTGTCCGACTTATGATCTAGAAAGGGCCAGGGCTGCCGGAGTGGGCAGGGCAGGAGAAAACAGGCGGGTGTCATGATCACCAGCGCCTGCCTCCTCTCTCACCTGGACCCCTCCGTGAGGGCAAAGGAAGCCTCGGAGCCCACCTGGAGCATCCAGATGGACAGTGGATAGAAAAGATCCGCCCCAGCACAGCCAGCAGCTGCTTCCAGATCCGCCCAGGACCCCAGGCCACTTCTGCCCATGTCAAGCTGGGAGATGGGCACAGTCAGATAGACTTGCAAAGTCACCCAACTCCCAATGTCTTACAGATGAATCAGAGCTGTGCACTGGCTGATGAGAACCACCACCTGGCCTGGGCCTGAGCGGGTAGCTGGTTCTGTCAACGCGAGGTCTGAACAGAATCTCATGAAACAATATTTAGTTAACTTGGCCTCTATCATCCTTGGGGCAATAGATTTCTGCAGGCCTTTGTTGCTTTTTGTGGTGGAACAAGTATGAAAAGTATAAAAGCATTTTTTGAACTTTTTGCAGAAAATTTCATATCCTAATATTTGCTTCCAGGCAGTCCATCCTGGCCCCTTACCCTTTGCTGCCAGAAGGCTTGTCTGTAATAGTGTCACAGGGAAAGGCTAGTTCTGTGCTAAGAAAGATGGAGCTCACGGGCCCCAGGCTGCCCATCGTGGCTTATCTTGGAATTTTCTCTGTGAAGTGGGGGGATGGTAGGGGAGTCTACTTCCATCCTAGGGCCTCCGTGGGAATTGTTCCTCAGTCATTTGCAAGAAAGAGCTGTGGCCTCCCGATGGCACGGGTGAAAAGGGCTCCCAGCGAGAAGAGGGATTTGTCAGGAACGCTAGACATTCTCCCAGCCTGGCCCAGGGACCCCCTTTGGACTTAATTTCCTTTCATCCTCTGCAGGCACAAAAGCATCACCAAGGGTCACATATTTTTTCCAGTTTGTCATCTTGGCAAGCTGAATCTGAGAACATGTTTGTTGAATTTCTATCCTCAAATCTTTCCAGGTTTGCGTCAAAGAGGAAAAGCTTACAGCATTTCCTTCCGTCTAGCTTGCTAAGCCAAATCTAACAGAGAATAATGATGCCTACCAACTGCCAGAGTTAAGGGGTACCCGCTAGCCACCCCCTCCCCCAACAAAATATGCATAATCATGCAAAGGCTGCAGGAGGCCAGCTGGAAACCCAGAAGGTCTGACTGTGGATTCTGGTCTATTGAAAGACTTGGCTTTGCTGTTTTGTTTGATAAAGGAGAGAAATTTCACTTTCCGTCCTTTAGACAGGGAGTGAGCCTGCGGTCGGCCTGAGGTATCCTGCAACTGCAAGCACTAAATAAGCTCCTGACTCATCTCTCCCCTGTGGCTGATGCAGAAGGTAGGGACAGGATGAGTTCCTTGTGCTTAATCATACAATGCCTTGGCATTTCTGTCCAGGTGCCCAGTAGCTGTCAGGCTGGGCCTGTAGGATACGATCCAAGAGAATGAATCAAAAAGTGTGGACGTGAAGATGCTGTTGTTAGCATGGCTACTGGAAATGTGGAAAGTAAGAAAGTCCACGGACCTGCCTACTTGCTCCCAAAGCCTTCCCCAGCTTAGCCTCCACATAGTCTGCCTTGGACTGGAATAGCCGCTACTGGATTTTCCCAAGGGTGTCATTATGCGGACACCTGGGTTTTGACTCACGGCTGAACTACTGCCATTACTCTCAAGTTCTGTTTTATGAAGGCACGTGCATGAGAAATGCTGATACTCCTTTAAGAAGTTCAGTGTGGTATAACTCAAGCTCCTCAGTAAGTCACAAACAGTGTAGGAAAATGACTGCAGCTGAGTGATGCCCTTTTAGTGGAGGCGTGCCTTTTTATTAACCTATAAGCATGGTGGCAACAGTAAATGGCGTGTAGCACCCATGAACCACGACCCAGGGGCAGAGACGGCACCAGGAAGGGGTCAGCCTCACTTTCCGAACTAAAGCAAAAGTGGCTGAGCACAGGTTAGTCACACCTTTTAGGGAGGTATGAAATGGCCGCAGACTCCACGAGGGCGGGACTGTGCTGCTGTGTTTTCTGGGCCTAGTGTCTGGCGCGCAGTGGGCTCTCCATCCATGTTTCTTACATGAGTCAGTAATCTCACTCGCTGTGCTCGCTTTGGATTCATGACATCAACTTCTCAGGTCAGTATGAAATAAGGCTCTTTTGGCCTGGCACGGTGGTTCACGCCTGTAATCCTAGCACTTTGGGAGGCCAAGGTGGGGGGATCACCTGAGGTCAGGAGTTCGAGACCAGCCTGGCCAACCAGGTGAAACCACGTCTCTACTAAAAATGTAAAAATTAGCCGGGCGTGGTGGCGCACACCTATAATCCCAGCTACTCTGGAGGCTGAGGCAGGAGAATCACCTGAACTTGGGAGGCAGAGGTTGCAGTGAGCCAAGATCATGCCATTGTACTCCAGGCTGGGCAATAAGAGTGAAACTCCATCTCGGGGAGGGCCGGGGGGTAGGCTCTTTCTACTTTGTGAAACATTTTGCACTAGCTGTGCCGTGAGGTCTCTTAGCAGAGTTGGCAGCACAGGTTCTGGTGGAAGTGCGGCATAAGTGATCCGCTGCACTCCCCCCCTTGCCAGACGCTCAGACACTGACATATTTCCTGGGCCCAGAGTAGCTCCCTGTTCCCCCTTCCTCCTGCTGCTGCCTGGACAGGACCCCAGGGCCAGGTTCTCACTGCCTCTTGGGCGCCTCGGGGTTGGGTCCAACAGCCACCTCAGCTATGAACCACGAAGCTGATGTGTCCAGAGCCAGAGACAGAGCTGACGCTGGTTAATCCCACACCAGCCTGGAGCCAGGGACTCGTCTTTGATTTCCGAGAAGCCGGCGTCCCCTGGGGTGTCTCCCATGACGCACCTTATCACCGTCGGGGTGATCTCCGCACAGAAGAACACGCTGAGGCTCCCCACCGCATGGGAGGCAAACATGCCCACGATGGAAAACGCGATGGAAAATTTGTCCTTGACGCTGTCACTCATCCCTGGGGGAAGGTCAGAAGAAGGTGGTGAGGGAAGAGAGGAAGCCAGGCCAGGGTGGGAGGGAGGCCTGGGGCTGCACAGCACAGCTCCTTCCCAGTGTCCAGCTTGCGGCATGGATGGGTATGCAATTCCCTCTGGGGACCAAGCAGCACCTCAAGGACTAGAAGCCCAGAGCCCCTGCAGTGGGTTTTGTGGGGCTTCTATGAGTCCCTGTGCGTCAAGCATGCTGAAGCTCATGGTGGCCTCTATTGGAATTCCTCAGCCGGGAGCCATGCCTGGTGGGAGGGCAGGCTGGCATGTCCCTGGTGCCACAGCGACATCCCTCTGCCCTGGCCTATGTTTGCTCCAGTCAGGTCTGATGTGCCCAACGTGTGGGACAGGGTAGCTGAGTCAGGGTTGATTTAAGGAAACAAAAACTCAAGCCACAGAATTTATGGGCCCAGAAGGCAAGTGTTCAACCCATCAAAGCCCTCGTAAATGGCACCGGAGACCGACCTCGCGCCAGGACAGGGTCTGGCACAGTGCACGGGCATGCTGTCAGGACCATACAGCTGGGGCTCAGCTCAGCTTCCCCAAGGCTGCATAGAGGGCAAGCACTCTCCAGGGACACGGGCGAGGGCTGGGGCAGGCCAGGCGGGTGCAGCAGCAGCTTCGAGGTGCAGGGCGGCACTGTGCTGTCCCCATGGGCTGCAGGGCAGCAAGCTTACATGAGTCAAAGGGGGACAGCGGCTTCCCCTGGCAGCACAGACAGCCGGGCCCCAGCACTCCCAGGCTTTCTCCCCCCACCCAGACAACTGTCCCTAAGACAAAGCATGTTGGCGCCGGGCCAGGGCCTGTGCTGAGCCTGGTGCCAGGGGAAGGGGCGGGGGCATGCGTGCCAAGCAGCACACAAACAGGGAAGCACCAGTCGCTCTTTCTAGAGGCAAGAGGGAGAATACAAATGTATCCGTATAGTGTCCAACCTACGGCCAACTTCAGCTGCAGTTCTTGGAGGGCAACGGGGAGAAAGAGAAAATGGAAACCACAGGTCCGTGAGTCTTCGAGAAAACACCCATTTAGATGTAATATGAGACGAGGAAGCACAGCCCACGCGCTTGGGACTCACCTGAGTCTGGGTGCTGGCTGTACTTTCCAATCACTGGACCCGCAGACATGATCGCACCCACACGGACAAGGGCCAAGCAAGCGAGAAGAGAGAAGAGAGCACATTAGGTGTGGAGTTAGCCTAGCGTGTTCCCATGCGACTTGGTTCAAGCAAACTCCCTTCCGTGTCTGGGATGGCGCTGGCCGCCGGGGCAGTGGAATTCATACTGCGCTAAACAAAGATCTTTTTGTTAGGAAGACAGGAGTGAGACCCTGCTGGCCTCAGAGCCTGAGGAGAAAATGGAACCTTCACAGTGAGACCCCAGCAGGTGCAAAGGGTGAGCTTCCTTGCATGTAAAGTCACCCACAGGTCACTGCCGCCTGCATTCAAGCTGCGTCAAGTGCTGTGGGGTGCCCCTGCCAGCCCCAGCTCTGCTCCTCACGGCTGCTTGGTGTTCGCCTGGGGCTCCTGTGCATTCCTGCTCAGGGCCAAAGGGGCACCACAACACCCGGGGGCTGAGGCACCCTGCCACTTCCGTCCCAACTGTGTGAGCAGGAGACTCCCTGGAAGGGCAGCTGGGGAACGGGGATGGAGGGAGACAGGCGCCACGTGTGCAATCCATTAGCTAAGCCTAACAGCAGTCTCCCAGCAAGGTATAGATTGCATAAGAACTGTCCAAGTTAGAAAGCTGCTCCTGAGTTTGAAGTGAGCCATCTCTAATCTAGGCTGCACGACAAGGCCGCTCTGATCTGGGTGCGGTGGACAGCCCTGGCGTCTAGTTCTGAGAGCCCGGGTTCATTTTCCTTGTAAAGGCAGGGGAGCTCTGTGGGGTCGATGTTCCCGCAGTGTCCTGAGCCTGTCCCAGGAGGACCGTGCCAGGGTGGGAGAAGAGGCTCATCGGTCCTGCCTGTTCACGTCGCGCCCTGGGCTGGCCACGGAGATGCTGTGGTGGTTTGTCCATACACGGGAATGGGTATTTGTTGGTGAGGAGCTATACAGAGCTTGCTGGAAGGGCCAGATGGACTCTCTAGCTTTGCCTTAGATTTTTTTTTTTTTTTTGAGATGGAGTCTTGCTCTGTCACCCAGGCTGGAGTGCAGTGCTGCGATCTCAGCTTACTGCAACCTCTGCCTCCCAAGTTCAAGTGATTCTTCTGCCTCAGCCTCCTGAGTAGCTGGGACTACAGGCGTGTACCACCAAGCCCAGCTAATTATTTTTTGTATATTTAGTAGAGATGGGGTTTCACTACATTGGTCAGGCTGGTTTGAACTCCTGACCTCATGATCCGACCGCCTCAGCCTCCCAAAGTGCTGGGATTACAGGCGTGAGCCACCGCACCCGGCCAGATTATTTTTAACCTTTACTGAGAAATTCTTTGGTCCAAAGAGAAGCTGATGAACTCGGGAACATCTGCTGAAAAGCAGGGCCCTAATGCAAGGGTGACAAAACAGATTTATTTCCCCCTTAATGTCACTCGAAAGAGACAATCCTTTGTTCTTCTTGGTCATGTGATGAATCACACAGAAGCAGTCTACCTATTAGCAAAGACTGGGCCACCAGGACTCGGAAGGAATCATGGTGCAGCCCGGGCCGGGGCAGGGGCAGGGGGAGGCGGGAAGGCCCAGTGCCCTCTAAGGCGGGCTCCACAGATGCTCTCAACTGAAGCTCTGTTCTCCCCAAAGCAGCTCCTTCCAGCAGTAGATTTTAGAGTGGCCAGCGGAGTCTTATGCAGCCCTTTCAAATGCCCTTGGGGATCTGCCAGCTTCCCTCCCTGCACCCAGCCCACCTCCCCGACCCACTCACGGTTGAGGAGGCCGAGCTGCAGGAGTGAGGCCAGGGCGGTGAGGATCATGAAGAGCAGCAGCCCTCCCCTGCGCCCGAGGAATCGGACCACCACGCACATGGCCAGGCAGGACACCAGCGCGATGCTGGCCGTGGTATAGTAGTCAGCATAGAAGTTCTCCAGGAGCGGCACCTTCACCTCGTGGCCCATCATGCTCCTGGCAAAGCAGTGGTGGATCCCGTACCCCGTCAGCCTGTGGAGACATACCGAGCGGCAGTGGGTGGGCTGCCCCCATGCCAGGGGCTGCGCTGCCTCCTGGGAGTTCGTGCTGTCAGGTGACCAGGAGATGAAGAAGCAACTCAATGTGTCATAGAAAAGCCCATCATGACCGAACCACGAGCAGATTACAGAGCCAATGCAAAAGAGGAGACGTGGGAGAAATATGGAATGCTTCTCCTGATGGAGGTCCAGGCTCATGCCCCACTACCATGGCTTTAATAGACAGGTGTGGGCACAAGAGCAGTGAGTCCTTTTGTTAAAACACACACTTTCATGGGAATCCTCCAAGACAAAGCGCTTTCCAGGTACTGACTCATTTAACCCAGGGCCGCAATCCAACAGCCACTGCACACCCACTTCACAGGGGCAGGGGGGCAGAGCAGCTCGCACGAGGCTCTCGGCGGGTAAGCGGCAACTCAGAGACGCAGCTTTTCTGGGCACTTAGGGTTCTGGAAGGGTGGAGATCTATCCATACCAGCCTCAACTCCACCCACACAGCCTGGAGGAGTCGGGCAGAAGCCAGGCCAATGGAAGACATATAGGGTCCACAGGAAACTGTTTTTTTTTTTGTTTTGTTTTGTTTTTGAGTAGAGCCGTGTTCTGCTACCCAAGCTGGAGTGCAGTGGCAAGATCTCAGCTCACTGCAACCTCCCCCTCCCTGGTTCAAGTGATTCTCCTGCTTCAGCCTCCCAAGTAGCTGGGATTACAGGCACCTGCCACCATGCCCAGCTAATTTTTGTATTTTTTGGTAGAGACAGGGTTTCACCATGTTGGACAGGCTGGCCTCGAACTCCTGATCTCAAGTGATCCGCCTGCCTTGGCTTCCCAAAGTGTTGGGATTACAGGTGTGAGCCACCGCACCCGGCCTCCGTTTTGATTCTTAATTTATCCCTGTTTCCCCTCCACTGCCCTGGGTCAAGCTTCTTTATTGCCCCACACGAGCGTATCAACCTGCTGGAAAAACGTGTCTGCCCTGAAAACAGGAACAAAGGCGTGGCTGCACCCTCCCACGGAGGCTGCTGATGGCCATCCATGGGGTGCCTCAGGGCTCTCAGGAACCTTTGGGGTGTACCTGTGATGCACCCGTGGTGCCTCGAGGGACCCTTCTTATGTCTGCTCTTGGCAACCATCCCAGAGCCAAAAACTGCCCCCTTCTCTCCCCAAACACCCTTTCGTGCTTCAGGGAAATCTACGTCCTTCTCATCTAACCTTGAGAATGCATCAAGGTCAACTGTAACAGACCCCGTCCCTGCCCCATAGGGGGAAGCCACCCCTTGCCAGGTGAATGCCTTTCCTCTTGGGAAATAGGCAGAGGCCCCAGCCCCCGCACAATGGCTTTATAATCCAGCAACTGATTTGGTTCAGTTAGCCTCCAGAGTTCCTCTTCTGGCCTGCTGAGATAGCAGGGCAATCTCCTACCTTCTTGCTCTGGTAGAAATGAAGTCTCCCCTGACCACAACAGGTCATCTGAAGATAACAGAGCCAGAGAGCTCGGTTCCCCGTCTCCACAAAACGAATCATTAAAATGGAAACTCACCATCTTATGTCAAATTTCATGTTTTTTTCCAACATAAAATGTAGAGAAGCCGTTCAACTCCTAACAGTGCCGCCAGCTCACCCAGCATCTACCTGAACCAGGCAGCAGCAGAGTGGCCAAGGCTGAGGCCCTGGGCTTGGCCTGATGTGGCCGTGGCCGGTCCCTGGCCTTGGTCTCTCTCCTGAGCTCAGGATGAGGCTCTACTGTTGTTTGGGCAGTAGAGCCTCTTGTACTCCTCACAAATCAATTTCAACCCAGAACCCCAATATGGAGAACTGATGAGCTGCTTTGACAGAAAAAGCCATGGGGGATGCTTGGCCCCTCGCCCTCACCCTGGGCCTGTCTTTACCTGGTGGCAGCTCGAGACCTTTCACAAATGAGTGCAACACCCCAGGTGACCTCTAACCCAAATGAGTCAAATCCCTTCCCTCCGCCACCTTGGTGACCTCTGACCCTGAACAAGGGACCACCTTGCACAGTCAGGGCCACTGAGCTCAAGACAGGAGTGACCTTCTAGGTACACACCAAGTCCAGGGACTGGGCTGCAAAGAACCTGCGTGAGTGATGCCCCCAGCCCCTGCAGGACCCAGCAGGCGGGGCGACCTGGGCCGGTGAGGGCCCTGGGAGGAGGTCTGCGCTCACTGGCCTGGCTCAGGCCCACCTGCCTCCACCCACGGCTGTCCTGGGGCCTTTGGCCAGGCTGGCTGCAGGTTCAGGAAGGGCGGGGCCGGCTACAGGCAGGGGCCAAGGCCTCATGGGTCTCAAATCCCCTGTCCTGAGACAGGGCCCAGAATTTCCAGCCTTGTGGCATCCCCCACTGTGCCCCTGAGGAGGTGCGTCCATGTGCATCTTGGTTTCCTGGACCTCATGGGCACGTGGTGGGGAGGCCCTGCTCACAGGATTTACACGCCTGGGCTGGGGGGCACCGGCTGCTTGAGGCTTCCGGGAGCGGGGGAGGTCAATATCTTCTAGCCCGTGTCACTCTTCACACACACACCCTTAGGATTCCAAGTTCAGCGGGGTGGGGAGCAGGGCCCTGGGCTTCACCACTCCCCACCTTCTTCCCTGGCCCCCTCCCACCCAGCTGGCACTTGTCCTCTGTGACTCACGAGTTCACACACAGGACCACAATGTTCTTCCACAGGTTCCGTGTCCCCACCACCTTCACGATGCAGACCTTCTTGGGCCTCCGGGAAAGCTCTTTCTCCAGCTCTGCAAAGAAACAGACCCTGTGAGCCCTGGGCAGGCCGCCCACAGAGGACAGGACAGCAGCTGCAGTCACAGCCCTGGTTCCCCAGTTCGGGTACCACAGAAGGGAGAGAGAAGCTTTTTTTTTTTTTTTTTTTTTGCCAGTGGATAGGGTCTAGGTTTCCAGGATAGAAAGGCACTCATAAGACCCCAGCTTTGCAGTTCAGGTTTCGCTCGGGTGCCTGAGAGGGCACCAAGGTGCACCGTCAGCAGAAGTTTCCATCACAAACCCTTGTTTTGGAACCAGTCAGAGTGCACACAAACGGTCTCGACTCAGTTCACTTTTGTCTGAGTACAGAGCTCAGCGATGATATTCTAGGTTACTGAGGCACTCATTAGGCCCTGGGCAAATCTAAACATGCAGTTCTTTTCCGTACACTCTACATCTGCCTGTGTCACCCCCGGCTCGGAGACTGGGAAGGCCACATGCAGATATGCTTCTTAGCCTTGTGGGGTGGAACTATGGCTGTAGCTACTTCTGCTGAAACTGCCCTTAGGACATCATATGCATCTTTGAAAGCCAAATACATAAGTGAACACATCTGCGTGTATGTGTATACACCATACATGCACACATTCATACGCATGCATATACGTGTGCATGTTTTAGTTAACAGAAGTCCTTGGGGGCTGGACAATATTTTGGCTCCAAGGGATGTGAGCAACTATAAAGTCATGAGACTGAGTTTCTTGTGCGGCTCCAGCGGCTCTGAAAGCCCCTCTGAAGGGAGTCCACCAGCGCACAGTGTTACATTCACCAGGCCAAGGGGTCTGCAGAGGTGCTGGTGTTGATCTGGCAATTTACAGGGAAGATTCAGAATGGTGGGGGTGCTGGCCTCCAGGAGCTGTCTGCTTGCACGTCTGGGAGCAGGAATGCCACCTCAGCCTTCTGTTGCCTCTCTGCCTTCCTAGCCTGGCATGTCTTCATGGAGTAATCCCCTACTGGGGAGCTAAAAAAGAAAAGGGAGACTTCCCGAAGCGGAGGGGAACCAGGACTCTTCAAGACTGTCAAGGTCACCAGAAACAAGAAAGACTGAGCAGCTGTCAGACCAGGAGACTAGGGAGAGGGGAGGACAAGACGCAGTCCTGGGCGGCATCCCGGGTGGGAGGAGTCGTCATGGAAAGCACGATGATGGGAGGCACCAAATAAAGGCTGGGGTTTGGTGAATGGTAGTGTTCCAATGTCACTCTTTTAGTTTCGACAACAGTACCACGACAGTATCAGACATTCGCAATCTGGGAAGTCGAGTACTGGGAGGTCTGTCGTTGCCTCTAGAGGGATCCTTCTGCTCCCTCGGGGGCTGTGTCTCCAGGACCCTGGCCCTGTGCTTCCGAGGGCCACTCTGAACCCTGGATGGCTCAAGTTCAACCCTCCTCTTCCACCTCCTTCCTGCCATCCAGCGGTAGGAGGGTCACAAAGCTCTTTCATTATAGTTTGAAGAAAAAATGTGTTGCTAAACCGTAGGGATTTGAATAAAGCAATGATGTTTTTATTCAAACATTGTTTTTGAACTGAGTGTCACCAGCCAGGGCACAGAAGGGAGAAGGAGAAACCTTTCACTTGTCTGAGGGAGCTCATGTCTACTGAGTTTCCAGAACTTTCTCCCTTGCCATACTTGGGTGCAAAGATTGAGGTCTGTGTGTAAGCCCACAGGGCCGGCGTTTCAGCTGCTGGTCCACGGACCCTCTCAGCTCCCAAGGTCCATTATTTTTCCTCAGCAAAAATGGGCTACTTTGACTACAGGCACAGTTTCTCCATGGTTAAAATAACTAATTTTATAAAGAGCTTGAAAATATCATGGTTAACAGAAAACCTTGGATCCAATGATCTGAATATCTTTGCTATTATAGAACTCATCAGAAACCAACTGTAATAGCTACGTTTTCTCACCATGGAAGACTTCCGAGAAGAAAATTTCAATGTCCATTAGCAAGTCCATATAAGTTTAAAGTTTTAAAAAGTATATACCCCAAACTGAACTCCTGATATGTTATTGTTTACTAAGTATGATGTTAAAGAAGCAATAACAACTGCATTATGACCTGAGCTTTTTAAATAAAATTAAACCTAGAACCCAGTCTAAAAAATTGACTGTAGTCTGCAGAGGTAACTGAATTCTTCTAAGTGGAATTAGATTAACCTTTCCAGGGCTATTGATATGTTTTCAGGAAGCACATGAAGCGCTTCCTCCCATGTCTGGCAGAGTCACTGTCCAATGACTTTGTGCTTATCTTACTACCAGTTACTCACATCACCAGCCTGTCAACAACAGCATGAAGCTTCCGCAGCATTATATCTGTTCTTCTGGGCCTCAAATCCTCGAGTGCTTCTGGAGGCCGTGCCGAGTTCTCCCATCCGGCCCTCAAGGCAGCGCTCTATGTTATAGGACACTTCAGATGGTTCTAACACCCTCAATGGTAGCTGAATCCAAGAGGCCTTTTTGTCTGTCCAGGTATCAGATGGACATCTAGAGACTTCTCTAAACTCCTCACACATGGAAATGAATGGGCAACAGGGAGCCCGGCCAGGTTGTGGGACACTGGCATCTAGGATTTGCTGCTGCGAGCACCCAGCTCCCATGCTCTCCTCGAGACAGAGGAGGAGGAGGACACATCAGCCTGCTTGACTTAGAGCCATCAGAAAATTTTCCAACCAAAACCCACGTCGAGCCGACTGAATTTTGATGAGCCAGGTATGTCCAAGGCCATCCTGCAGCCCCTGTGCCTCCACATTTTCACGGATCCCCGTGTGGTCGGGGCTGAGGTCTGGGTGCTGTGAGGGGCCCGATGAGCCTGGGCAGGAACCCAGCTTCTGCACTTCCGGCAAAGCTACGCTCTCCTTGGAAAAGCTACGCTGTCCTTGCTCTGAGCCCAGCTGCTCGTCTGTGAAGTAGGATGAAGCGCTGCCTTGAGGGCCGGATGGGAGAACTCGGCGCGGCCTCTGGGAGCACTCGGGGAGCACGTGTCTTCCCGCCCCGTGCTCAGTGAGCCCAACATCTCCCAGCTTCTCTTCACCAACAGAGGGAGGGAAAGGAGGCCCTGATGACCCTGCTGACCCGCTGGGAGGAGGGCACGGCCTCTCCACATTTGGCCATCTGGTGTGAGAGGTAAACCAGGCCTCCGAGGACAGCAGAGGACGCAGTGGCCACTCGCCCAAGACCAGGCTCAGGAGGAGCAGGGAAAACACACGCAGAGGAGAATTGGAATTGGCTTGCGTGGGGGTATGAGATAAACCGGCTTTGTTGTCATCCTAGTGGACGATGCTAGTGCGTTAGGGGTGAAATTGGAAAAACATCAGTTATAGAGACGGAAAGCAAGAAAAGAAAAAGGAGGAGGACAAGGAGCAGGAGGAGGAGAAAGAGAATGAAAGGGAAGAAGGGATGCTGCCATCTCTGCCACATGAGTCATTAAAAAAGCACACCAAACGCTCCAAGGAGGCAGCCCTGAGCCCCACACCCGTGTTGGGAAGTAGAAAAAGCACCTGCTGCCTCTTCCCCACAGCCCCTCACCCCTCCGGGACGGATTTAGAATGGGGCCACTCGGCCACTCGAATAAATGTGCTTGAAAGCAAGTGGAAGATAAGCGTCCACAGGAGTCTTATCACGAAGTCACCTCAGACAGCACAATCTTCAATGTCTAGCCAAGCTTTCAACAACTGACCGGGCACTGCCGACCTCTGTCATCTCTGTCCTCGTCTGCCCAGACACAGGCTCCACCTAACCTGAGCCCTCTGAGTGAGCCGTGGCGGTCGCCTGTGGAGTGAGGGCCCTGTGCAGCCTGCCTGGGGTCATACCTTGCTTTCATCACTTACAGGTGGTGTGACTTGGGCAAGGTACCTAGCGTGGAACGTGGAGGTGGCCTGACATATCCACCCTCTCGTCATCTTAGGATCTGAACAGATTGTTAAGGCAGAGTGAGGCAGGCCAGGACAAAACCCAAGCTCTGTCATTGCTAGGGGTAGTAGGGAGCCCCACATGGGGCTAAGATGGGGGCGCTCGGATCACACAGACTCAGCCGTGCATCCTGGCAATGCTGGGCAGGTTGGCTTCTCCGGGGTGAGGTGTGGGGCTGCCCGGAGAGGACTGATGCTGAGGACGGAGGATGCCTGCACCCTGCACGTGGCTCCCCACAAGGAAGAAGACAGGAGTGCATTTGCCGTCCTTCCCCTGGGGCTAGCCTGACACTGAGAGGTATCATGGAGTTACTGCTCCCCACTGCTCAGCCTCTTTGGGCCCGTTCTGTTCCTGTAAAGTAGGGAGAATGGCTCCTCTCCCTCATGAAGCTCAGATGCAGATGAGATACATATGAAGCGCTTCCTCCGATGCCTGGCAGTCACTGTCCAGTGACTTTTTGCTTATCTTACTACCATTTGAGCATTCGACATTCTACATTGAGTTACATTACTACCATTTGAGATTCTACAAAATCTGAAGCCTGAAATGCTCTAAAATTGAGAATCTTTTGAGCACCCACATGATTCTCAAAGGAAATGCTCACTGGAGCATTCAGATTTGGGATTTTTGGATTTGGAAAGCTCAACCAGTAAGTATCATACAAATATCCCCAAATCCCAAAACATCCAATCCCCAAAACACTTCTGGTCCCGAGCATTCTGGATAAGGGATGCTCAGCCTGTGAAACTGAAGGCACAGTGCCGTGTGTGGCACTCATCCCGGGTCTCGTTTTTGCATTAGGCTGCTGGCCACACGGCCACATTGGGAACCAGCGGGCCTTCTACTCCTGCTTTAAACGCTCAAAACCTCAGGAACTAATGACACAGGAGTGCTCTCAGCAGTTGGGCACGTTATGTGATATGAAGGTTGCAGGACTGACATTGAGAGAATGATGCTCAGGAACACACCCACATATCTAAACTCAGCTGCACAGGCCAGTAAGAACTTCACACTTGCTAGGAGATAAACCAAGGACAGCTTTAAAAGAGAAAAGGAAATAAGAAATTTGAGAACATCAGGTTTTCCCCCGGCATAAGTCCAAGGTTAGGATGTACTGATGGGGCAGTGAGCAGCCCCACTGGACCCCTACACGTACCTCCAGCCAGGCCCGAGACGCTTACTTACCCAGTGGCAATGCAACCGCAATCCTAACCCTTCCTTCCTATAGGAGTCCTGGGTTCGTTTAGCCCATAAATATTCATGGCACACCTGCTACGCGTCGCGTCAGGCCTTCGGCTGGGCTGCTGCTGGGGGCACAGAAGTGTCTGGCTCTACAGACGGGCCCTGCCTTGCCTGGCCTTGCCGCTCTGCAGGGGTGACAGGCAGTAATAAGGAACCCTGCAATTACTCGTCGTAGCTGGGATGAGGGGAAGCGGGGAGAAGTGCTGAAGTTGTAACAGTGAATAACTGGGGGCTGACTTGGTCTCTGAGGAGCTGGGCAAGGCAAGAGTGGGGAGCTGAGAGGACAGGGAGTGTGCACCGGGAGGGACCTGTGGAGAGGGAGACGGTGGTGTGTCCTGGGAGCCAAACGAAGGCCAGGGTGTGAGGTGGTGGGAGGCAGAGATCAGAGCCTCTGCAGTGGCCTGGAGGACCTGGGGTCTACCCGAAAGGCACTGGGAGGCACTGGAGAGGCTTGAAGCCGGTGGTGATGTGATCAGATCATGTGTGACCTGGTGGCAGGGAGGATGGAACAAAGCTGGGAGCCCAGCCAGCCGGCCAGGGCGCGAGAGGGTGACAGACACGAGGCTCGGAGCAGGTGTTGGCTGTGGGATTAGATGGGGTGATGGGAGGAAGATTCCATGCAGAAAACTGAGCCTGGGCAGAGGAAGCTGGAAGTGGGAGATGTAGCAACTGAAAGACACGCTGCCTTCCCCCACACTCAGCAGCCCTGCCAATCGTGCTGCCATCAACACATCTGACAGCTGGGGGTGGAAGAGAGCAGAGTCCACTGTGAAGGGCTGCGGGGCAGAGCCACCACCTGAGGACCGCTCCCCAAGGAGGTGAAGCCTCTATCCTCTTTGTTAAGTCACATGTCACCAACTGCCTCTCACCCAGCCTCCTGCCTGGGACTCTGGAAAGGAAATAAGCACCAGCAAAACTCATAAGCAAAGAAATAAATTTTTAAAAAGGATCTAATACCACTTTCCAAATATAGGAGGGAAATGAATCAGTGTAATTAGGATTTGAGAAAACAAGCTATTCCCAGACAATATTTTAACGTGAAAGAAGCAGAGTGTGATGACTTAATTAGGGAAATGCCACAAACAAATTGTACTGTAAGCCTAAGAGCATTAACCTGCTAACGAGTGAGGTCTGGGGAAATCTGGGAAAGCCATCTGGACCGTCCAAAACGAGCAAGCATGGCCCCGCTGGAGAAACCTGGATTGAGTACTCACTACTCAGCGCAGGGAAGTTTGTATCTATCCAGAGCTCTCCCTCATGTTAGAGCAGCGTGGCAAAGCCACCCCTGCTGGACTTTGCACCCCTGCTGGACAAGTCCTCGCTCAACTTCTTAGCAGCTGTGTGACCTCTGGAAGCTGCTTAGCCTCTCTGTGCTCCCGTTTCCTCATCGGCAAACGGGGCTAATTATAGTGCCTCTCTCATAGGCTGTCATGGAGAAATAATACACGTGAAGCACTTGGGGGCTAAATATTAAATATGAATTAATATTTGCAAATCACTTAGAAAAGGAGCTGAAATGTGAGTGCCATGTGAGTGTCATCGTGTTTCTCGTCACTGTCCCTGGATAAAAAGGGACCACAGATGCACCAGCACTCAGCACCCTTCATGTCAACCAGACCTGGCTCATGTCCTTCTTCTGTCCAGCGAAGCAAAAGCTTCAGGCGTCCCTGGGTAGGCCCCACCCCACCCAGCACGTGGTCCAGCCTGGGTGACCTGACTCTCACGGCCCTGCACAAGTTGAGGCAGAGGGTGACATCCTGGCTGAGCTACGGCAGCACCAAGGAGCTTCTAGTGACCTAGTGTCCCCGATCTTCTGAACTGGGAGTCTAACGAGAGGCCTGTCCAGGTACCAAGGGCTTCTCTGATTTGGGGTTCCCGTGCATCCCTTCCCATCGTAAATGGATACCTGCAGGGCACATTCTCCCACCTCACTCAGGCCCCTGCACCTGTGCCCCTGGAGCAAAGCTTCCGCAGCCACTCTGACTGTAGTCCCTCCCTGCCACCCTCTATCCCACAGCCCTGCTGTTTCATCCCTCCTGACGTATGCACGTGTAACTTCCCTGTCTGTGTGCCCCACCTGCCTGCAAGTTACGTGAGAGCAAGGCTTTGCCTGTGTCTTCTCTGCTCTAGAATAGCGCCTGAAACACAGCAGGCATCTAGTAAACACGTGTTGGTTTACTGAATGAATCATGATCACAAGCATTTCTGGTCAGGGGGGAAAATGAGCATATTCTCTCTTGGACGATGGCCTGGAGGTTATTTTCCCAGGGAATTTTATAGCAACAATTTATCCCAGGTCTTCAGTGAGGGCAGTGAGTCAGAGCTTGGGCCGAGACCACCAGTGATCTTCAAACGGAAATCTGTATACCACTTGCATCAGAATCTCTTCTAGTGCTTATTAGAAATGCAAGTTCTCAGGGCTTATCCCAAATCTAACAGGTCAGGATCTCCAGGTGCCAGGGAGAGGCCCAGGAATCTGGATTTTAACAACCTCCTGGTGATACGTGGATCCCCAGGTTGAGAACCCCCACCTAGCTGTGGTAACGCTCCTGACACGCAGGAATTCTATGGATCTGAACGACTATCCAAAAACACTTCACCTTTCCTGTCTTCAGCTGCCCAACAAATAGGTCATGGCCAGGTAAAGACAATGGTGGCTCTCTGAAGGTCATGCTCAGGAAAGCTGAGGTCACAGGGGCCATCTACACCCTGAGCCAGCGCTCTGGCAGTGTTTAGACCTGGCAGGCAGGTAGGCTATGGGCCAGACAGCCAGATATTCCCTTGAGCAGTGTATATTGGGCTCATGGCTCGCTTCTGCATTTAGACAGGAGATGAGCAGATCCAGAGTGTGCTGGACTTGATCATGAAAGAAACCAACACCTAGAAAATGGAGAGAATGTCAAGGTTGCCACATTGCCCTTGTGCAGGCCAAAAGGTCACAGGAGAATTGCACAGCTGGTTAAAACAGCTGTTTGTGCAACAAAACCAGCCCAGGTGTCAGGGACCTGCCCCGTGGAGCCTCTCTGAGCCCTGCCAGCCCGCGGTGTGCTCACCTGGTATCACACCCTTGATGTCGCCCTCAGGGTTCATGCGATTCTTCTGTGTGAAGTGGAGGATCAGCCTCTTTGCAGACTCAAACTGCTGGGTGGCCATTAGCCACCGGAGGGACTCGGGGAATATCCTTTAAAGACACAAAGGGGATCAGTGAATGTCTTCCGATTCTGCACGGCACCGGGAAGTGTGGCTTAGGTGTGGCCCGGGAGCTTCCCAGGCAGGTGGCGGTCAGTCTCCAGACACGCATCAGCCCAATCAGGGGAGATAAAACTGTGGGCACTGAAACGTTCCCAGTTTTCTTTTCCAAAGAGTAAAAATCAAGACCTTAAAAATGCTTAACAAAAGTTAACCACATGTTCTCACCCACGTATGGAAGCTTAAAAAAAAAGTGATCTCATAGAAGTAAAAAGAAGAACAGAGGATACTAGAGGCTGGGAAGGGTGGGGGGAAACTGGGGATAGGGAGAGGTTGGTTGAAGGATACAAAATTATAGCTAGGTAGGAGGAACAAGTTCTAATGTTCTACGCCACTGTAGGATGACCATAGCTACTAATAATATACAGTTTCACATAGCTAGGAGGAGGATGTTAAATGTTCCCGGCCGGGCGCGGTGGCTCACGCCTGTAATCCCAGCACTTTGGGAGGCCGAGGCGGGTGGATCATGAGGTCAGGAGATCGAGACCATCCTGGCTAACAAGGTGAAACCCCGTCTCTACTAAAAATACAAAAAATTAGCCGGGCGCAGTGGCGGGCGCCTGTAGTCCCAGCTACTCGGGAGGCTGAGGCAGGAGAATGGTGTGAACCCGGGAAGCGGAGCTTGCAGTGAGCCGAGATTGCGCCACTGCAGTCCGCAGTCCGGCCTGGGCGACAGAGCGAGACTCCGTCTCAAAAAAAAAAAAAAAAAATGTTCCCAACACACAAAAAAGTGATATTTGCGATGATGGGCATGCTAATTACCCTGATCTGATCATTTTACATTCTATGTACTGCACCATCACTGTGTACCCCATAAATATGTACGATTACTATGTGTCAATTACAAAAATAAAAAAATAATTTAACAAATGTAACAGAGTAGCGGATATGAACAACATTCTACCAGCTGTGTCAAGAAATCAGTGTATACCTTTCAAAGTAACCATAGATTTCTAAAGCATGGAGAAACAATTCACGGAAGCCTGCTGATTTTGTTGTATTTTGTCACAATAAATAGTAATAGAATGATTTTACGTTTAAAAAATTACTTCCAAATATGACCAACCTGCAGTTATTTTCAGTTTCGGAACCTGAAGGCTCACTGTCCCGGGGTTTCCTTCAGAGCTATTTCCACGTTACTGCTAACCGCCTGTCACTGTCCCTCAGACGATGCCACAACGCAGTGGTTTTCGAGTTTTACCAAAGCGACAGAATCTTTTTCTTTTTTTAAAAGATGGAATCTTGTGAGGAGCCCCAATACAAAAAAACTAGTGTTTTATTATCAATTAATTTTATAAATTTACATTTATGACAATATTTACAAGCTGCTCAAAGAGAACACCGTGACTGCGCAGAGCAGGAGTTGGCACGCTATCTCTGCAAAAGTCCAAGTCATCAATATTTTAGACTTTGAGGGTGAAATGGTCTCTCCTCATCTTGGCCTTGTGGCCTGAGTGTGGATGTATGGGAGTGGGTGTGGCTATGGGCTAATAATACTTTATTGCAAAACAGGCAGCTGACCCTTGACTGTTTGGGAGAGACAAAAAGTAGAAATCAAAGCTCAAGATGACAGTCCTAGCTTCTTGTAGCCCTCAGTGTTCTAGTTATCACTCCACTTTATTTTAGTTAAATTGTATCAGGAAAGTCACGACTGATGCTGGTAAGAAGTTATTGTAAGTACCGAACACCTGCTTTGCAAGCTCAGGATAGACTTTTTTTTTTTTTTTTTTTTTTTTTTTTTTGAGATGGAGTCTTGCTCTGTCACCCAGGCTGGAGTGCAGTGGTGTGATCTCAGCTCACTGCAACCTCCACCTGCTGGGTTCAAGCGATTCTCCTGCCTCAGCCTCCCTAGTAGCTGGGATTACAGGAATGTACCACCATGCTTGGCTAATTTTTGTATTTTTAGTACAGATGGGGTTTCACCATGTTGGTCAGGCTGGTCTCGAACGCCTGACCTCGTGATCCGCCTGCCTCGGCCTCCCAAAATGCTGGGATTACAGGCATGAGCCACCGTGCCCGGACTCAGGAGAGTTTTAAAATGAATCTAGCAGCTAGAAAAAGTATTAATGGTGTTTCCCTCACCCTGGCCCAAATTCATATGTTGGAAACTAAACCCCAATGTGATAGTATTAAGAGATAGGGCCTTTAGGGGTGATTAAGTCATGAGAACGGGAGGCTGAAGAGAGGTGCCTTGCCCCTTCCCTCATGTGAGGACACAGAAGGCTCCATCTATGAGCAACACACGCTTGCCAGACACAGAATCTGCTGGTGCCTTAATCCTGGACCTCTCAGCCTCCAGAACTGTGAGCAATAAATTTCTGTTGTTTATAAATCATCCAGGGTAAGGTATTTTGTTGTAGCAGCAGGAACAGACTGTGAGAAGCAGAAAATTTTTATTTCAAAGTCACATCACTATCGATATCTAATAATTACTGCCTCCTTCATACCTATTTGAAAAAAGTCCAAATTTCTATTTGCTTGTGACTGTGTTTTACATGATGAAGTTGTTCCCACTGAATTCGGTGGTACCTTTGGGATGGTCTGATCTGAATGATAACTCACTCTGGAAGACTTGGGAGCTTCTTGAAGAGCTAAAAGCTGTCCTGCTGAGCAGGTGTGTGGAATGCAGGAGGGCCGTGTGGAATGGACAGAAGGTCTCTGGTCATCTCACATGGAAGTCCCAAATACATTTGCAGGCACTGATTTTTTTTAAATACTCAAAGTTAATGTTTGTTTTCCTGGCCTCTAGCTATACAAAATTAATTTTGAATAACATAATCCAAGGAAATAGAAACAGATACATGACATTAATATTATATATATTCACATTTTGCTGTATTTTAAAAATCAGATCTTTTCTTTATAATAAAACAACCTAACACAAATGCCACCCCCCATAGTTTAAGTTCTGATCTATAGTATTTCCATCTTTCTGATGCGTTTGGGTTTAGTATCTTTTTCTAATTTCTCAGGATAGACATAGAGGTCATTATTATTAATTTTCTCATAAGTGTACTTAAGACTTCAAAATTCATCTAGATATTATCATTTGAGATACATTTGTGATTTGATTCTAAATATTTTGTGATTTCTATGAGAATTTTTGCTTATCTAAGAAACAATATATGAATATATATAAATACGGTAATATGACAGCGCAAGCGATTTCGCAGGTAGTCTCTACAGTTTTGAAATACGGCATACAACGTGGAAATTTGTGTCCTTTCAAAATAATTAAAATTTATTTATATCAAACGCTTACGGAACTCCATGGCAGGAAATGGATTTTGAAAATCAAGACCATAAATGAAGAACAAGGCCCAGATGACCCAGCAGAGGAGGAGCTGCAGCCCCACCTTCCAACCCCTAGGGCCACGTACCCCAAGGGCCACTGCCCAGGGCTGAGGGCGCAGGTGGTGTGAACGAGCAGGGCAGAGCTTCCACAAGAGGACATAACTTTTTCATTGCCCCAGCAATCTCAAGTCCTGTTCCTTGATTTATCCTCAAGTGTTACCCACAGGGTGGGGAGAACCGCGGAGATGTGCTCACTATACACAGTTTTGAAGCCAGGATAGGAGGTGACAGCCCAGGGAAAATCCAAAATGCGGCATATTTGAGTATGGACATTTGAGTGGTGCCATTTTGCCTTCAAGATAAAGCCCTTGTAAAACGAGTTGGAAGAATTCCTTCTGTTTCGTTTTTTTGGGGAATAGTTTGAAAAAAGTTGGTATTACATTTTTAAAGTTTCAGTAGAATTCAGCAGTGAAGCCCTCTGGTCCTGGACTTTTCTTTTTTGGAAGACTTTTTATGACTGATTCAATCTCATTACTTGTTATTGGTCTGTTCAGCCTTTCTATTTCCTCTTGGCTCAATCATGGTAGGTTGTATGTGTCAGGAATTTATCCATTTCCTTTAGGTTTTTGAATTTATTGGCATATAGGTATTCATAGTAGTCTCTGATGATTCTTTGTATTTCTGTGGCATCTGTTGTGATGTCTTTTTTTGTTTCTGATTTTATTTATTTGGGTCTTCTCTGTCTTTTTCTTAGTCTACCTAATGGTTTATGAATTTTTAAAATCTTTTCAAAAAACCAACTTTTTGTTTCATTGATCTTCTCTATGGTTTTGTTAGTCTCAATTTCATGTATGATTGCTTTGATCTTTATTATTTCTTTCCTTCTACTACTTTTAAGTTTGGCTTGTTCTTGCTTTTCTAGTATCTTGAAATACATCATTGGGTTGTTTATATGAAATCGCTCTAGTTTTTTGATGTAGGCATTTGTTGCTATAAACTTGCCTGTTAATACTGCTTTTGCTGTGTCCCATAGGTTTTAATATATTGTGTTTCTATTTTCATTTGTATGAAGAAATTTTTTAGTTTCCTTCTTAATTTCTTCCTTCACCCATTGGTTGTTCATGAGTATGTTGTTCAATTTCCATGTATTTGTACGTTTTGAATGTTCCTCTTGTTATCTGATTTCTAGTTTTAGTCCATTATGGTCAGATAGGATACTTGGTATGATTTTGATTTTTAAAAATTTTTTGAGACTTGTTTTGTGTTCTACCATACAGCTGATCCTGGAGAAACTAAAACCTTCTGCACAGCAAAGGAAACAATCAACAGACTGAAAAGACAACCTACAGAATGAGAGAAAGTCTTTGCAAAC
Organism: Homo sapiens; assembly: GCF_000001405.40. Taxonomy (NCBI): domain Eukaryota; kingdom Metazoa; phylum Chordata; class Mammalia; order Primates; family Hominidae; genus Homo; species Homo sapiens. The sequence continues at coordinate 3,302,953 of NC_000006.12, forward strand.
TATTCATCTGACAGGGGATTAACATCTAGAATATATGAGGAACTCAAACACCTCAACAGCAAAAAAAGAAACAACCTGATTTTTAAAATGGACAATAATCTGAATAGACATTTCTTAAAAGACACAAATGGCCAACAAACATATATTAAAAAAAGCTCAACATCACTAATCATCAGAAAACACAAATCAAAACCACAATGAGGTATCAACTCACCTCAGTTAGGATGGCTATTATCAAAAAGACACACACACAAAAATGCTGGCAAGGATGTGGAGAAAGGGAACTCTTATATGATGTTGGTGGGAATGTAAACTAGTACATCAACTATGGAGAACAGTACAGAGGTTCCTCAAAAAACTACAAACAGAATTACCTCATGACCCAGCAATCCCACTACTGGTGTTTATCCAAAGGAAAGGAAAACAGTCAAAGAGACATCTGCATCCTGAGTTTATTGCAGCATTATTTGCAAAAGCTAAGATATGGGATCAACCTAGGTGTCTAACACAGATGACTGGAAAAAGAAAATGTGGTATATATACACAATGGAATACTATTCAGCTGTAAAAAAGAATGAAATCCTGTCATTTGTGGCATCATGGATGGAACTGAAAGACATTATGTTACGAGAAATAAGCCAGGTACAGAAAATTAAGCACTGCATGTTCTCACTCATGTGGAAGCTCAAAAAAAGATGATCTCATAGAAGTGAAAAGTAGAACAGAGGATATTAGAGGCTAGGAAGGGTAGGGGGAAGGGAGAAATAGGGAGAGATTGATTAAAGGATACAAAATTACAAGAGATAGGAGGAATATGTTCTAGTGTTCTGGAGCACTGTAGGATGACTCTAGTTAATAATATATCATATAGTTTCAAATATCGAATGTTCCCAACACAAAGAAATGATAAACGTTTGAGAGAATGGATATGCTGCATGCTATTATGTGACCACTATACATTTAATGTAGCACAACATCACTATGTACCCCATAAATATGTACAATTCTGATGTGTTAATTTAACAAATGCTGTTACAAAGATAAAGCCCTGCATTATGCATACCAGGCAGACATTGGTGCTACTGGAATTCCATCAGTCCAGGCATTGGATCCCAGAGAGGATTCAATTCTGCTGTTCCCCTTTCTTATCTGGGCCCACGGAGCCCTTGCCCTTCAGGAGAAAAGTCTCTCCTTGTCCCAGACTTCAAAGCCACAGGCACAGACCAGAGCCTGAGGCAGGAGGGTGTGTGTGCAGCCCAGTGGTGCAAGGGCAGACAGGGCTCTGAGACTCTGCCTGCTCCTCAGTGATCACTCCCTCATCTTTGTCATCCTCCAATTGGGTCTAAAGGCAACACACTTTGGATACCTAAAAACTGACAACAACCAATAAATGTCTTTATGAGAAGTGATGATGAGCAAGTCCCCTTCTAGAGAGTCTCTGAGAATTGCAAAGCTCATAGAAAAGATTTCAAGGATATTACTGTTTACAAAGGCGTGGTGTGACCTTAGGATTTAAGAAGTGGGTATGGGCCTCTTTGGGAGCCCAAGCTTTCGATGGGTCTCCAAATTGTTTTTTTCTAATACATACTGAGCATTGTCACTACAAATCCATCTGAAATGGATTTGTCACTACTCACTCAAATCCACTGAGCGAGTTGGATAGAAGCCCGCATGGCGTGGGTTGTAGTGGGGGCAGTCCCAGGCAGGTGGTCCAGGGGCTGGTCAGGGGAGGCTCTGGAGAGGCCGGGCTCTGCTTGGACCGTCTTGGAAGATGAGCAGCTGCAGGGCAGGCCCTGTATCCCCTCGTACTGCTGGAGGTGTGTGGGGCAGGACCCAGAGGTAAGGCATGGGGTTGTGGGACGGTGCATTTGTTGTGTTCAGAGAGCTGCAAGCTGATAAACCCGAATGCTGGGAATGAGGTGAGAAGACGCAGGGAGAGGAGAGGGATGCAGGGCCCAGGGAGTGGAAGATCCTGAGTGTTATGGGCTCTGATGAGCAGCAGCCACGGGACTGGAGTGAACTGAAGTAAAGACAGCACTCCCCAGGAGATCTGGGCGCGAGACAAGGGACAGGCTCCCCTTAGCTACATGACCATCTCCACTGGGGGGTAGCACTGCTCACCACCTTCCCCATGACGGGATTTACAACCAACAGACACTGTCCCACCAGTGTCCCCCGTGTGTGATGCTTGCAAGTCCATGATATAGTGGCGCTATAATTAACCCCATCTTACAGATAGCAAAATTCAGGCCAAGAGAGTTCAAGTACATTGCCCAGGATTACACAGCTATTTAATGGCAGAGCTGGGATCTGAACCCAGGCAGTCTGATGAGATAGCCCACACCCTTAACCTCTGTGGACACAGCACAGCAGCAAACCCATATTGCCTGGACGGCACTCCGGTGACTGAAGTTGGGAAGCAGTGTTCCAGAGATGCTTCCTCAGGCATTGCGGAATGCCACAAGCCCAAAGGGTATGTGTAGGGAATACTTAAGTTTTATGACGCGCTCCGTGAATTTAAATTTGCTGCAAAATCATGAAGAATTCGTTGGCCTGTCAGCCTCTGAACAAGCCCAGAGATGGTTGTTTTAGTTTGGATAATGTGCAGCGTGGCCATATTATGGGAACTTAATGAAATCTCTGCTGACAAGTACATAACGTAATAACGCCACACAAATTAAAAAGCCAGCCAAGGGCCCAGGACTTGGGAGGAATAGAGCTGAGCCTCAGAGAAATTGATGACTTTCAACAAAAAATCAGGAAGCACGGTGGGTAGCTGGAGCTTCATCTGTCTGGTGCATCCTCACATGTAGACGGCCAAAAAGCGACCTTGAGGATGACTTCTGCAACCGTAAAACACAACTAGGCATTAAAACCACAGCAGCTTCCCTGGGAGAAAGCCTTGAAGTTGGCTCTCAGAGTGGCTGTGGCCAGGATGGCAGTGCAAGAGGAGAGGTGCAAACTGGAGGAGTCCCATTATCTTAGTCTGTCTGTGTTGCTATAAAGGAACACTGGAGGCTCTGGAGGCTGGGTCATTTATGAAGAAAAGAGGTTTATTTGGCTCACAGTTCTGCAGGCTATACAGGAAGCATGGCACCAACATCTGCTCTCCTTCTGGTGAGGCCTCAGGAAGCTTTTACTCATGGTGGAGGGCAAGGGGAGCTGGCATGTCACGGGGTGAGAAAAGGGGCAATAGAAGGGGGAGGTGACAGGCTCTTTCAAACAACCAGCCCTTGAATGGCCTAATAGAGAGAGCTCACTCATTACCGTGGGGAGCGTACCAAGCCCAAGGGGTCCACCCCCGTGACCCAAACACCTCCCACCAGGCCCTACCTCCAACACCGGGGGTCACATTTCAACATGTGATTTGGAAGGGACTCATGTGCAAACTCTATCACCCAGGTAAGGGAAAAATAATTTGGTTCATGCAGCAAAGGGCTTGCTTGAAACCACAGATGTGGAACAGGAAGTTTCTAAAGCTGTAAGTATTTAATTCTTTACTATGTGGTGGTACTATCATTATCCCCATTTTACAGATGGGAAAACTCAGGCAAAGAACGTTCAAATACATTGCCCAGGATTACACAGCTATTCAATGGCAGAGCTGGGATTTAAACCCAGACAGGCTGACTGGAGAGACTGTCAGGCTGGGAAGACCTAAAGGAGCCCAGCCTTCACACCTAACAAGTGATTGCTCTAAGCTGGCTGGCTCACTGATCCCCAGGGCTTCTGTGGGAAGGACGTGGGCAGAACTACAAGTCTCCACTCACCCTCCAAGACCTAAACCCCAGGTGGGGGGAGAGAAGCAGAGGACAGAGAGCCCTGCTGGATACAGAGTGGAGAGTATTTTTCTCTTTGCTTCTAAAGAGCCGTTCAGGACAAGGACGCTGTCTAGAGCAGAATGTTCAAGCTGAGGTCACCCAGGACCAGGAAGGAGCAGGCAGAGGTGCTGCCAGGCTGTGTGTGTCTGCAGTGCCCCAGGGGTAGAGGGAGGCAGATAGCTGCCTTCCCACCAAGCAGGCGTCAGCGTCTGCAGCGCGGTATGGATACAGCAATGGAGGGGCACAAGGATTCCTCCTCTAGGGTAAGTAGGATGCTTGCCAACTTGGAGGATTTTAGAGCAGATGTTTGCTGATGGGCCATGAACATGCTGAGCAGACGGCATACGGCAGCGCTACGACATGCACAGGTGGCACTTGGTTACTGACAAGCTGAGGGTAGGCACAAAACCTGCACTCTCAGTGGCATGTCCAGGCAGGTGTCCTCACTGGCTCCGGGTCTCAGTTCATCTCGACGCTCTGACCCCCCACATTCCAGCAGAACTTGGGGACTGTGGAGAGGGCTCTTTCCTCCTGATGACACATCTAGTGGAGGTCTCGTCTGAAGGTGAATGACAGATTGGACTCAAGCCCTTTTCAGAAACCCCTTCAGGATGGTTAGAAGGTCCACAATCTTCATTCATGATTCTGGAACCCCCAAAGCATTCTGGCCATAATACCTGAACTGGCCTGAACTCAATGCAGGCAGAACCCAACTGGGATACCAGTGCCTTTAGCCTTCACTTGTCCCTCCTCACGGAGCCCTGCGGATGTTCCACTGCAGGATAGTCATATGCTGGACGGCAGACTGAGGCCCAGGCCCTGCTGGCGTCCAATATGGACGTATCTCGGATCAGCGAGAGCTGCTCAGGAACCACACCACGGTAGGTGCATGCTGAGCACCTGCTGGGACAGCCCCCGGTGTGACACTGTCCACAGCAGCTGGAAGCGGTGACTGTCGGTGAGTTACAGTGGAGGATTCCAGGGTCGGGTTTGGCTATGGAATTAATTAAGCAAAGCACAGATAAACCCATTCTCTACTTAAAAAACTAAAATATTACAGATTCCATCAATGGATGAATGGATAACAAAATGTGGTCCATTTGTACAATGGAATATGATTTGGCCTTCAACAGAAGGGATCTGACACCTGCTACAGCATGGGAGAACCTAGAGGACACCGTACTCTGTGCAATAAGCCAGCTGCCGAGGGAGGAACACCTTGACATTCCACTCACATCAGGCACTAGAGGAGTCAAATTCATAGCAAGTAGAGTGGGGGCTGCCAGGACCTGGGATAGAGGAAGGTGAAAAAATTCTAGAAATGGATGGTGGAGATGGCTGCACAACATCGCGTTGTGGATGTGGTCACTGAGTTGTACAATTTAAAATGGTTACAGTGGAAAATTTTATGTTACGTGTATTTTACCACAATTAAAAGAAAATATTACAGAGAAGACGAAAGCCCCCCCATACCGCTCACCCCAATCCCAGTGCCCCTGCACTCACCCTCCCGTCCTCCAGGGCTAAGCCCTCCCTGGGTGGGCACATGTCCTTCCAAATCGTATTCAGGGCGCTGACACGCACCTGCATCTCCAGGTGCCGCCTCTGCTATGACACACTGCCCCCACATCACAGTGAAAAATGCCAGTCTCACTCTAAACATTCCCTTCCTTTTAGATTGGCACACATTTGCCCACCTGGTGCTCAGAGACAGTTCCCCCAGGTGTGGACAGTGGCTCTTCTCCTGAGGTCTTGAATAAAAGCACATTAATTCCTACTTGTGAGGGGAGGGCACTAACTCAGGGTTGATCAAACCTCACAAAAACGTGAACCATGCCATTTTCCAGCATGTACTTGGGACATAAAACCTAACATAAAACCACAGCATGGGCCGGGTGTGGTGGCTCACACCTGTAATCCCAGTACTTTGGGAGGTCGAGGTGGGTGGATCATGAGGTAAGGAGTTCAAGACCAGCCTGACCAACATGGTGAAACCCCGTCTCTACTAAAAATACAGAAATTAGCCAAGCATGGTGGCGCAGGCCTGTAATCCCAGCTACTCAGGAGTCTAAGGCAGGAGAATCACTTGAACCTGGGAGGCAGAGGTTGCAGTGAGCCGAGATTGTGCCACTGCACTCCAGCCTGGGCGACAGAGCGAGACTCTGTCTCAAAAAACAAACAAACAAACCAACCAAAAAACCCCAACAACCCACAGTGTGGATCGGCAGGTCCCTAACCCCATGGCTTCAATTAATCTTAAAAAGAGCCGAGGGCTGGGCGCTTTGGGAGGCTGAGGTGGGTGGATCATTTGAGGTCAGGAGTTTGAGACCAGCCTGTCCAACATGGTGAAACCCCCATCTCTACTAAAAACGCAAAAATTAGCCAAGCATGGTGGCGGCTGCCTATAATCCCAGCTATTCAGGAGGCTGAGACAGGAGAATCGCTTGAACCCGGGAGGTTTGCAGTGGACCAAGGTCGTGCCGCTGCACTCTAGCCTGGGCAACAGAGTGAGACCCTGTCTCAAAATGAAAATCAAAATAAACATGAAAAGAGCCAAGAATTCGAAATTAAGTAAAAGGGGTCTCTAATTAAATGCAGAGGTAACTCAGTCCACTCACTGAAAACACAGACTTGCTTCACAGAGGCGCGCCCAGGGTCTTCAGACAACTGAATCCTAGCTGAGAAAGCCCCAGGCCACTAACGCTGGGCAGAGGCCTCAGAGCAGGGTGGCACCTGACCGTAATAAGGACTGTGGGCTGACAAGCAGGTGGCACCTGACCATAATAAGGACTGTGGGCTGACGAGCAGGTGGCACCTGACCATAATAAGGACTGTGGGCTGACGAGCAGGTGGCAGGAGGCAGCGGGCCAGCTGCACACAGGCGTTCCAGCCTCCTTGGTGGTACAGGAGCTTCACACACACATGCTTCTGAAGGGTTACACCACGGTCACACAGAAGTACCTGCTGCCACAGGGATGGCTCTCCAATCACTCACCAGGGACAGGCAACATTACAAAACGGAACTACAGTCAGAAGGGCATCTCCGGATTGCACTTAACCCAGCCCCTCACTGCACAGCAGGTGACCTAGGCCTGGCCATGCTAATACCCTGCCTGGGGCTTCATGAATGGCAGAGGCAGGCCTGGAACCTGGGACTTAAGGCCCCTAAACCTGTGGAGTTTTCCTACATCACACCATGATTGCAGTATTGCTTCTACAGCAGGAAAAATGTATTCTACAAAGAGTCCCACCCAAATTAGCTAGGCAGAAGAGCTGGTTCTTAGAGATTTCTATGGAAAATGTATTTATGTGGAACTTTTCCCCAGTGGTATCATGTACACAATGTTACTGTATCAAGGCAGGAAAATTTCTCTGTGTTTTCTTAATACCATCACATTGTCACTCCTCAAAGCTGAGTGTCAGCACGCAGTTCAAGCGGGAGCACCCTGTCTCCCACTGGAGCACCCTGTCTCCCAGGGAGCACCCTGTCTCCCACTGGAGCACCCTGTCTCCCAGGGAGCACCCTGTCTCCCACTCAAGCACCCTGCCTCCCACTCGAGCACCCTGTCTCCCAGGGAGCACCCTGTCTCCCACTCGAGCACCCTGTCTCCCACTCGAGCACCCTGTCTCCCACTCAAGCACCCTGTCTCCCACTCGAGCACCCTGTCTCCCAGGGAGCACCTGATGCACCGCAGGGTAACTGATGATTTAACAGTGGTGTGTTGCTTGTGGTCCACATTCCCATCTCTGTCCTCTTTTCTGGAGTGGGGATTTGGCTAAGTCTCAAGCCCGTCTGATTTACATTTCATGGATCTGTTTTACATCTTAGTCCCTGTAACCTGAGTAATTGCTCAGTAGAATCTGTAATTAAAACTCAATACTGTGAAACCCTACGAGGTTGATCATTTTTCCTTGACATCTAAAAATAAAATAAATTATTCCTCTATCCAGTTGGAGACTGACATAGACAAGTGTACTATGTTGGCTGCCTTCCTGCCAATTCACTTAACACCTGCTGTGAAGAAATGCCAGCTTGGCAACTGTATGAGACGCACGTCTACCCTCTTTAACGTACTGTACTAGCACATTTACTCATAAAGAAAATACAGGAAGGAAATAAGATGAACTGCCCATGCTTATTAAATTAATTTTACCCTCAAGTCATTCCTTTATTTGTTTTTCGAAATATTTAGTTGCAGGGCGATACCTGTGCAGACAGGTGTGCCTTCCTGTCTGTGGTTCCACGTGACGCCATTCACGGGCTAAACATGCACTGGGCACCATCCACCTGCTGTGGACGGGCTGGCCTGGAGATGAAACACACACAGTGTCTGGGCCCCAAGGAGCTCACTGTCTAGTTGGGGCAAAAACGTGTAAATTAATAAATGCCTAATAAATGAGGAGCTTCTATCAAATAGGCCTTCCCATCAAAGAGTGGGGGACACAGAGCAGGGACTGGGGGAGGGAGGAGAATCTCAAAAGGCATCGTGGAGATAAGGTTTCCCTGAAAGTGATGTGAGAAGGGCTGTAGGCTGCAGTGAGGGTGCTTCTGATCTAAAGGGGTGATTCTAGCCACTGACGCTTTGGGGTGTTGCCACGTATCAGAGTATTATGAGATTCTGAAGAGATTCTAAAAAAATAATAAAGGCTAAAGTTGAATTAAGTACCAGTTTGGGGAGTATCTTTAGTTTCTGGCTCAAAACTTTTGCACAAAATATAAGCTTGGATTCTGTACATAATCTTCCACTTGGATTTTTTAAACGTTAGTTCTGTTTGGTATTAAAACAATAAGGTGGCTTTCATTAAACTTCAGACTGTAGAGAGATGGGATGAGTATCATGAAATCGAATAAAGATTGGCTCTGAGGATGGTTAGACCCCAAGGTTTTCCTAAGGCAAATGAATTCCTTGAAAATCTCTTGGGAGAAAAAGTGCATTCATAATTTAAATGACTATGCTGCTAATTTATCTGTTACAAAAGCTCAGAACCTTGTGTCTCTTTTGTCTTTCAAAGTGATATACACTGAGGCTCCAAAATTCTGCTCTAGAAAAATTATGGTGGAAATCTCTTGGGAGCCCTGGGTTTGTGTGCCAATTTTGTAGCCCTGGGCAAGTCACCTTATTCCTTTGGGCCTCAGTTTCCCCACATCTGTAGACCGGGTTGTGGAACGGCACCAAGGTCTTGCCTGGCTTCAACACTCTCCATCTAGACTCAGGGCTAACGCTCACTGTTGCCTCCTTCCGGAAGGTGAAGAAGATGCTGCTCCTGACAACGCACTGAATAAATGAGCTTATGCTGCTTTAAGTTTTTGCCAGACCAAATGAAGTCAGTGCCTAAGACAACTTTGGAGTCAGACTTTTCATGATTAACCAACTCCAAATGTATAACAATTGGCATACATTTAAAACATCCCTTAATTCATATTATAAGCGGATGAATACTTGGAGTCCAGTTGCAGGTTCACCTACAATCTATAACCTTCCATGTGGCTGGGTTAACCTTCTCCCTCTGTCTGCACCTTTCACTCATTTATCCGTAGAAGCAATTATCAGGCTGCAGAAAATATAAGGCACACAGAGCCTTCGAAATACAACGTGGTAGGGGGATTAATTTGGCAAATGACTTTTAAAAAGTCTGATGTTGTAAAACAGTGTGAGGAGGTAAGTAGGCAGAGGAACAAGGGCACTCTGTCGCTTCTGCTCCTGAGCAGAATTTTATCCACACCTCTATGATAGCAGCCTCACCTCCTACTCACCTCCTAATGAAACAAGTCGCGACACCTTAGCCAATTCTGATGGCTGAGTGAGGCTGTCCCGGTCGCACTCAGGACTGCCACTCTTTAGTACTGGCCATGTGGTCTGCCAGAGTCCCTAGGGCCAAGCAGATGGGCGGCTGGGTCCCCTTGTCCTCATTCCAACCACCATGTGGATGTTTGCCAGACGCCAGCAATGGCAACACCCTAGCAACTGACCCCGGACACCTGTCACCAGAGGCCCACTCACTTGGTCTCTGTCGGTTGCCAACAGCCCAGCCCACCACCCCACAAAGTGCACACACGTGCACATCTGTACATGTGCACACATGCACACACAGATGCATGCTGCCTGCGCTCTGCCTGTTTGAAAGCTGCAGTGCATCTCAAACTGGCCTGGAGCAACCCCAGCTTCCCGGTGGGAGCAGGGTGGTGAGATGGACTCTTGGGGCACATCTTAGCATGAGGACAGGAAGGGCGAAGGCTGGCCCCCGGGACAGCCACACTGGCCTCCAGAGCAGAGGCTCAGTGCTCACTTCCCCCTTGCAGGAGTCTCTCCGCTTCTCCTTGCAGGCATTTGTGTTGACGCAGAGGTTCCTATTGTCTTACACAATCTCTGTGGAGTGTTGTCTGAGGGCTCCCTAAACTTCCATGCCATCAGCAAATCCCAGAATACCCACTTACAGAAAACATTTGAATCTCACTTTTAATTGCTCCATTTTTATGACTGAAATATGGGTGACCATTTTATTTCCACATCTGCCTTTTGTCAGTATTACCTCATCTATCTCCCATCTAGATAGTTTGTAGGCAGAAAAGATTTGACCAAGAAATTTTTTTTATGTTTCCTATTGATCTCTCAAATTGATTATTGGATAACTTGTAAAAATAATTATTGCCTATTGATTCAAGCTCCCGGAGACTGCATGGTTTTCATGACGCACCTCTTCCGTTTTCCTTTGAGGAGAGCATTTTCCCGCATGCTTAATTGTTGCTGTAACTGAATTCAGTTTCCCTCCTCTCATGTAGGGAACCCACAGCACTTATTTTATCTGTAATAGAGTCTCTTTGTATAATGCAGCATTTTGCCCCCCTTTTGGAATAAAACTGGTTTTAATAGAGGAAGTTGTTGTGTCTGTCAAGTTGTTCTTTCTTGTGTTTGGGCAGGAAAAAAGGCTGATACCTGCTGGATTATGTATGTATAAAAATTCTTGGCCGGGCGCGGTGGCTCATGCTTGTAATCCCAGCATTTTGGGAGGCCAAGGTGGGTGGATCACCTGAGGCTGGGATTCGAGACCAGCCTGACAAACATGGAGAAACCCTGTCTCTGCTGAAGAACTCTGTCTCTACAGAATTAGCTGGGCATGGTGGCGCATGCCTGTAATCCCAGCTACAGGGGAGGCTGAGGCAGGAGAATTGCTTGAACCCAAGAGGTGGAGGTTGTAGTGAGCCGAGATTGTGCCATTGCACTCCAGCCTGCGCAATAAGAGCAGAACTCTGTCTCAAAAAAAATTCTTAAATGGTCTTTTAAAAGTCATTTCAACGATAACAAGAAGAAAACTTAATTGATCAGCTTAACCCATTTTTATTGAGCCCTTATCAGGGCAGGTACTGATACCCCAATAATTTTAAGAACTGTTTTTGTCAATGTTAAACAATGTACTTACATAAAAAAGAGGGCATGGAGGATTCCTCCCAGGACAGAAGTGTAGCTCTGCCAAGTAAATGCTGCTCTCAGCAGCCCAGGGCCCTCCGCTTGCCCGGCATTCCAGGTCCCTGGGCCACAGAACCCCGGGCTCATTATGTATGACTGGGCTGAGCAGGAGGTGGTAGTCCCTGTGGCTCTGGAGTCCACCTGCTGGAATCCAGACCCCAGCCCCACTTACTAGCCATGGGGCGTCAGCAACACCGCATCTCTCTGTGCCTCAGTTTCCTCATCTGCACTGGAGGCCGTCCCGGTATCTACCTCACAGGGTCTTCAGGAAGATTTAGGGAGCTAAGTTATGTAAAGTGCTTAGCAGGGTTTAAGAAACAAACCCTCAAGAGATGCTAAAAATCAGTATTACTCTGACCAAAATATTTTTAATGATATTTTAAAGAGCCAAAAAATTAGGGCTATTTACATATTGGAATTTTTTTTTAAATGAGGCATTTATTTAACCTGAGGCCATTTAAATGTTTTATAATAGCTTTCTTCTTGAAATTAAAAAAAATAAAACTCCTTGTAGCATGTCTGTTTTTTTCTAAGGGTTTCTGCACGGCCAGCCTCTGGAGTGTCTTCTCCGGGCCAGTGTCCTTTACGGCAGCACAATCTCACGTCCTCCGCGCTAGGGTTTACCTCCTCATGTGGGGAATCGGTTCTGTTCCTTACTCTCCAGTGTTATGCAGTGCAGCGTGATCCTTCTCTAATTTCCTCCTTATTTCCCATACTGCTTATTATCGTCTTATTGCTTTCCCAGATGCTTTTGATGATCATGCTGATTGCCAGCAGATCTTTCCTCTAATTCACCAGCTTCACACATTCAGCCTTTTGCGTTTCTATCTCTAGGCGTTTCATGCAAAACACACACATTAGGTGGGCTCGAGGTGAGAATATTTTTCTACTAGGTGTGCACCTGATTAAAAGTCTTGGGGAAAAGTGCAAAAAAAAAAACTGCACACACTCACTTCCTGCAGGGTTGGAGGGATGGAATTGGGTGTGGAAAGCACTTTGCCAGCAAGATGCCCCATCTGTGCCTGCAGGGAGGTCGGGGGAGCAGGCTGGGGAAGCCTTCCCTTCTCGTGAACCTGGAACACTGCCGTGACTGAAGACTCCACAAATGCGTGCGTGTCCCCACAGCACAGAGGAAATGCGTAGAGCCAGGACCAAGTTTGTTTTACTTGCTTTCATCGCTTCCAGGAATACTGATGACTTCTGCTGTCCGAGATGGTCAAGCTATCTGTTCACATCGTGGAACTGGACAGGACCATCAGATCTCACAGGCCCTTCGAGGATGGCATCTGTTTCATTTCACTACACAGTCTCGAACCCTATTTCATGTAAGAAAAGTGTGTGTTCGGCTGGGCATGGTGGCTCACACATATAATCCCAGCACTTTGGGAGGCCGAGGCAGGCGGATCACTAGGTCAGAGATCCAGACCATCCTGGCTAACATGGTGAAACCCCGTCTCTCCTAAAAATACAAAAAATTAGCCAGGCGTGGTGGTGGGCACCTGTAGTCCCAGCTACTTAGGAGGCTGAGGCAGGAGAATGGCGTGAACCCAGGAGGCAGAGCTTGCAGTGAGCTGAGATCACGCCACTGCACTCCAGCCTGGGCGACAGAGTGAGAATCCGTCTCAAAAAAAAAAAGAAAAGAAAAGAAAAGAAAAGTGTGTGTCCAATGCAGCTGACTCACAGGATCTTCTTTTGCAACTTCTTATCATCCTTTTTCAAAGTATGTTAGGTCCTCTGTGTGCTTCCCAAACAGCAGGGCTCAGCGGCGTCTCAGGAGGCCTTCTTAAAACACACGCTGCCAGGCCCACCACAGGCGTTTTTATTCAGCAGGCCTGGGGCGGGGGCTGGGCCTGAGATCCGTATTTCTAGCAAGTTCCCAAGTGATGCTGATGCTGCTGGCCCAGGGACTGCACTTTGAGAACCACTGACATTTGAAAACCTGTTTTGAATGCTTTTCCCACATTTGTGAGTGATTTGGTGAAGGTTTTTTCATTTATTGGTTCCCCCACCTACAAATAGGAATAAATCCACCAACTCCACCAACCTCTGGTTCCTTGGATCCAGGAAGAGCTAAGGAATTCGAGAGTACTATGGTTAATATGTTTTCACACGTAAGAAGCGTGCAGCTGATGTGAAGAAAAGCACATTTCTAAAATGTGAAGACACAATCAGCAAATGTCACAGTCCATGTGTCTGCCACCAGGGAGGCATAAGATGTCCAAGTGCAATGTTTTCTTTCTTTGCCCCACCGTTCCATGAGGGCGGGACTGTCTGCCTTGCTTACGATGACACCTCCACCCCTAGAAAACATTTAAGCACTCACATGTTGGGCTGAGAGCCCTCACTGGGGAGCTTGTCGAACTAGCATCAAAATTCTGCACCTACTCTTAGAGCAGACGAGCACGTTGTTTTTTAAGAGATAGGGTCTTGCTCTGTCACCCAGGCTGCCGTGAAGTGGTGCAATCATAGTTCACTGCAGCCTTGAACTCCTGAGCTCAAGTGATCCTCTCACCTCAGCCTCCTCAGTAGCTGGGATACAGACACGTGCTCCCATGTGTGGCTAATTTTTTAAATTTTTGGTAGAGATGGGGTCTCCCTTTGTTGCCCAGGCTTATCTTGAACTGCTGTGCTCACGTGATCTTCCTGCCTCAGCCATGCGCCACCATGCCCAGCTGCAAATTTTGTGTTATCAATGATCATGTGTACTCAGTACCCTTAATTTACCTGATGAGGAATGGTGATGGCATGCACCAACGTTTTGGGAGAGTGGCGCTCACATCTCCACTATCTCCAGAAGTCCTTACTCCCTGTGACTTCTTCCAAGCCACTTGAGATAAACACCACATGGCAGCCTCTCCAACAGCCTTCTCCCTCCCTTGTCATTCCTCAATAGTGAATTCCCGCGCAGGAAACTTGATGTCACCCTGTCCCACGTATTACCTTCCTGATCTTCCATGCTGCGGTTTTCTAGGATGTTCTAACGTAACGTAGACCTGGACCTCCAAACACAAGACCAGGCTGTGTCTTGCACAAGGGCTCCCAGCTGAGGAAGGAGCTCTGTCATTAAGCCATGTGCCCAGTGCAGGCTGTGGCCACCTGGAAGGGGCACCTTTCCGCAGTGTGCACAATTTCAGAGCAGCAGCTCTTGCACCCAGCTCCCTCTTCCATTCTGGCACCTCCTGCCACCTATCTTCCTAGCGCATCTAAGCAGAATTCCTCCTAGATGCTCCTAGATACTCCCTTCTTCTTGTGGTTTGGATCTTGCATCTTCCCCGCCAACCCCTCGTTGTTGGCTGTGACCCTGGAAGGATTTCATGTTTCTTCTGGAAGAAGGATCAGTCGGTATGACTTCCTTCTAGATGAGCGCTAAATCCCTGCTGCTCTTTACCGAGTGACAATCAATGCCTGAGCAAAATGACTAAAGATGCATTTCTCTTCAGGCATCTGCGTCCATCAGTGCAATCACCCAGCGCTTTGACGGCGTCTACTTTCAGGTGAAAAACACTCACAAGGGCTCTTTCTTCTGCCGCTCCTGCTTCACAACTAAGTGCTCAAGTTTGACTCTGCAAACCACACGAGAGGACCAGGCGAGCGCACCCTCCCATTCTCTGGCCACCAGCTGCCGCAGCTCTTCCTTCACCTAAAGCCCAGCCGATCCTGCCATGGCCCAGAAGGCTCAACATATTATAAGCATCCCCAGGCAGCTCGTGCAATGACATCGCTCGCCTATCTTGGCTCCACTTGCTGGAGCATAAATCATTCATGTGTCCCATCTTCCTTGCATCACCAGAGACTCCTGTGCTCACTGCACCCCCTGCCAAGTCCCTGTCCAGTCTCTGGGTGCATCATGCTGCTGCCACCTTTTCCTGGCCAGCGTCTCCACCCTGGGGGTCACTTCATTCCAGAACTCTGCAACCCTGCGGCTGCTGCCTATTAACCAAGCCTTTGTATTTTCTGTATTTCCTAATGTTTTAACATCTGGAGCCTTGCTGATTCCAGAGAGGCTGCTCCTCCCAGGGTTCGCTAATTCCTAGACAGAGTAAAAGATTCACCTGCAAGTGTACTTTTCACACACAAACCAACCCATCCAGAGCCGATACCCCAACCACTTCCTGTGTCGGGCTCTCACACGTGGGCCACCATCCGCCTGCCCCAGTCACCCCGGGGCCAGCTTCCAGACACCTAGGGACAGCCCTATGCCCACGCGCTGCAGAAATGATCAAACTGCCAAAACTCATCCTGCACACCCTGCCTCACCTGCTGCTCCCACAGAAACCGCAATAAAGGCTCCTGCCCACGTTTTTGCCTCCCTGTGTGCCTCCTGGCCCACCCCAGTGCTTCCCAGGAGGCCCTGTGTGGTCCTATGTACCCCTTCCTCCTGGGAACTGAGAGTAATAAATGATCTTTCAATGGCAATTGTCTCCTGGCCTGCTGACCTCACTATACCTGGATAATAATAAAACCCACATCTTAACACAGGCTGCGGCCTCAGTCAAGTCTCCTGGTCACCTCATCCTGTCACCCACCACAGTAGGATAGCAGGACAGGACTTCAGCCTCCAGCCCTCCTGAGCTTCCATGTTTCTTAAAGCTCTGGCCTCCCCATCTCAGGAAACAGACCCAGCTGCCATCACTGCCTCCTCTCTCACCTTTGAGAGTCACCTCAGATCCATCAGCAAGTCTCACCAGGGCCACTCTCAAAGCATCTCTCGAATCAGCCCTCTGCAGGTGACACCCAGCCTTCCCCAGTGCAGGCACCAGGATGTCACACAGCCCAGTGTGTGCGCTGCCTCTGTCCTGGCCCTCACCCGGCTCTACGCCTTCTCCACGAAGCAGACAGATGGGTCCTCACAGAGCACAATCCGGGACACAGGATTCCCCTGCTTAAGACCCTCCAGTGCATCTTTATGCCTTTGTAGAATAAGCCCGTGCTCCTCAGACCCCATAGGGTCTGACCCCACCTGCCTTTCCAAGTCACTTCTGTCCCCTCTTGTCCACCATGCTCCAGCCCTGCTGACCTTCCTCTCCCGGTTCCAGGAGAAGCCGAGCAGAAGCCAACTTTTGCCTTGGCTGATCCCCTTTGTCTAGAACACTTTTCCGCCCAGAAGTTTGTGTGACTTCCTCTTTCTGAACATTTAGGCCTCAGCACAAACATCAGCCCCTCAGAGGGGTCTCTCCTGACCACCCTACTTGGTACGTAGCACTATTTAAAAGCATGTTCCTCATGTGTGTGTGGGTTCTTCAGGCTCCCACCCGCCTCTGCCCCACAATGTGCTTTCAGGAGATCGGGAGCTTGCTCTGGAGATGTATCTAGAATACCTGGACCAGCAACAGC
Organism: Homo sapiens; assembly: GCF_000001405.40. Classification (NCBI taxonomy): domain Eukaryota; kingdom Metazoa; phylum Chordata; class Mammalia; order Primates; family Hominidae; genus Homo; species Homo sapiens. The sequence continues at coordinate 3,319,574 of NC_000006.12, forward strand.
ATCAGCATAAGGCAGTGTGGCTGCTTAACAAATACCAGCTCGCTTCACTGCCCTTTCAGATTCTTCTATTTTCTACAGTTCCTGAGATGCACACTCCCCAGTCTGTAGGTTTGGGCCCTCATAGTGGATTCCCCGTGGATCTGTGACCTTTGCCTGTGAGCTCATCTTTAAAGAGAATTTTCTTCCGTGTGAGTCCTGGATGCCTCTGTGGGAGGCCGTGTTTTGGACCCTGAGGGGTCCAATGAGCTTCCCTGGTTCTCACATTGATATCTCAGCCTCAGGGAGCAGGTGGAATTTGGAACACACAGTCCTGCGTGGTGCAGACTTCAAGGCTCCAATTTCTTTGGGTGAATCTTCTTCTGCCCACGGTCCAAGGCAGTCCGCCAGCTCTGGGCTGAGTCCCTGTGGCAGGCAAAGATCTCCCAGTCCTGTGGCCATTGACAGTTTTGACTCCTGGCTTGACTGAAGGAGCTCAGTTCTCACGGCATCAGAGGCCTGGGAGCTCAGCTCTAGCCCCCGGGCAGGTGTTGAAACCCAGAGTCCTCACGCTTCTCTCTGGTTCAGATGCCCTGGGAGCTGCCTCTGTGTCTGCTCCTGCTGGGATTCCCTCCTTGGTTTGACACCTGGGAACTTCCCCTTCTTTCCCTGGAGCTCAGTGTCGTACTTCTAAAAAATGCTGTATTTTAACCAGCATTTATATGTGTGTATGGAGGGGTCCCTGTCTGTTCAGTCTACCATCTCGACCAGAAGATCCCTTCTGGCCAGTCCTCACACGTTTGTCTTTACTGCCCCTACCCCAAGAAGCCGCCCCTTGGGGACCGTGCCTCGTGCAGCTTGGTTTCCAGTCCTTGTTAAGGTACATGCTCCCCTGTCTGCTCCTCAGAGATACAGCACTCCAAAGCACCAAGTACGCTGCTGGGCACCCTGGTGCATGCAATAAATACTTGCTCATTAAAGGAAAGCAAGCAACTTTCAATATGTTGCTACCAACAGCTGGTCATGCTGGCTGGTGCTACAGCTCACCCCCTCTCCACAGCGGGCCACTTCAAATCCTGTCAAACAACAGAGCCCACTGCAGCAGATGGGAGGAAGACAATAAAAAAGGGTAGGCAATTATTGGCTTTTAAAGCCAATAATTCTAGTGGAGGCTTCCAAGGCTGGTAGGCAAAGGTGGTTTACATTTCTCACCACCCACTTTTTAACCTGCCCCATTACACCCAGACTCCTATATATATATTAAGAGGATGCAATAATAACAATAGCAGTGACTAATATTTAATATTCATGAGTACTTATAGAGCAGACATGTACTAAGCACCTTAATAGTAATATAAATGTGTAAATAATTATGATTATCATGGCAGTTAATATACATATGGCACTAGGTGACAGGCACTGTTCTAAATGTCTCATACATTAATTCACTGATTCCTCCCAACCCCATTATTGACCACAATGACGCACAGCTGGTGAACCTGAGGCACAGAGAGATTAAGCGACTTGCTCAGGGTCACACAGCTACTAAGTGGCAGAGGTCCAGGCTCTGTGTCCGAGCCTCCCTTCAGACTGCCCCTCCATGCATATGTTTTCCGTGCGTTATTTCAGTCTTCAAAACAACCCCATGAAATAAGAACTATTATGACCCACTTTTTACAGACATGAGACAACGCGGGCTCAGAGAGGTGTGAGGCAGGCTGGAGGCAGCACAGCCAGTCACTAGGCCAGCTCTACCCAGACTGCAGAGCTGGAGCTGTAAGCGGGAAGCAGAGCACCTTGGGACCGCCATCCTCATGCACACACGTGCACACACATGCACACACGTACACATACATGCACACACATGCACACACGTTTACTTCTGCAAGTCCCTGGATGTCTTTTCAAAAGCTGTATAATTTGTTTTTAAAACTGTATATTTCAAAGAATTTTCCTGAGGTTTTAGAATATTTTTAAATAAATGAATGCCTTACCTTGCCTATCACTAAACCTCAATATGTTTCTAAAATTAAAAAAAAAACAAAACAAAAACCCGGCCCTTCTCACATGGGTCAGCCCTGCATAACTGGAGTTGCTCTGGAAAGACCTTCTCTGCCACTTCTCCCTTGTCAGGTGCACTCCTGCCTGGGACAGGTGGGTGCAGAGCCTGGGGTGAGGGAAACAACCCTGTCTGACCTCTCTTCTCAGGAGTATGGGTCGCCAAGAGGCTGTGCCCTGTTCTCCTAGCCTAGGAGAGAACACTGGTGCAGGCCAGCAGCAGAGGAAGTGGCAGAGAGAATCTGCTGGGGTAGGGACATGAGATGGAAGCTGAGGGAAGACAGGGGCCTGCTGGGGAGAGGGGGTGAGCTGTAGCACCAGCCAGCATGACCAGCTTTTGGTGGCAAAATATTGAAAGTTGCTTGTTTTCCTTTAATGAGCAAGTATTTATTGCATGTACCAGGGTGCCCGGCAGCCTACTTGGCGCTTTGGAGTACTGTATCTCTAAAGAGCAAACAAGGAATAGGGGCCAGGCAGGGGAAGACAGGAGCCAGGTGTGGCAAGAGTTGGCCGCTTCAGGTCCAGGCTCTGACGTGAGTCAGCGGGGGTCAGGGGACCGCGGTTCTGTCCTCTATAGGATGGGCTGCTGAGATATGAGGGTGGAACCATTTACTATTGCAAAGTGCTTGTCGTCTGTGCCTGGTACAGTGGGAAGCACAGAGAAGCATTTGTGAGATAAATCAGCACCCTTGAACTCCGAAACAGCTAAGCCCAGCGAAGGCTGCCACAAGGGAGGGGGCAGAAAGACTTCCTTAGGAGATAGAAGGAAGAGAGCTGCCCACTCCATCCTTCTCCAGGGAAACTATTGCTCATTCTCCGCTCCTTAAGGCCCTGTTGGGGCACAAGGGCTGTCCTGGAACACGGTTGTGCTGCGGGAGGGGTTTGGACATCCAACTTCGGGACAAGAGCTGGAGGCGGCCCCAGGAGAGGAGCTCAGTTCGGGCAGCGGTGGCTGCTGAGTGGCCTCTCTGGCAGGTGGCCTTTTCCCATCTGCTATTGCTGGCCCCCTGCTGCTGCCGAGGTCCTCATAACACAGTGAGCAAGAACCAGGCTCTCGGGGAAACCGCACCTGCACCCTCGCAGTACATCTACTACCAGGGCAGGGGCGGGGGGCAGTACCACTAAGCCAAAAGGTAGGTGCTTTCTTCCCTCCCGGGCACCTGAGCAAAGGAAGCTCAGCTCCAGTGAACCCTTAAAGCAAGGACAAGACTGACTGCACGGCCAGAAATTTGGTTTTCATTGTTGACTAAATAGTAGCAATACAGGGCCACATCCATGATCTACTTATGGGTAAGGTGAGAGTATCAGCATGGAGAGGGATGGGAAGGAAGGGAAAGGATGAAAAACAGCATTTATAAAAAGGTAAAAGTATCATTTTTAGGGTCAACATCTCTCTATCCGTGGAGCAGTGTTTTCCAGTCTTGACTCAACATAAATTCCCTGGAGAGTTTTTTAAAAAACCCAGTTGCCCAGGTCAAACCCCCTTTACCAGTGTGTTTAGTGTTCCCCCCGTACTGCCGGCAAAGCTAGCAGGTCAAAAGACTTAAGGTTACCCATAGTTCAAAAAGGCATATTAGACTGATATTGAGCAGGGGTGGGCAAGCTATTTTTTGTAAAGGACCAGATAGTAAATATTTTCAGCTTTATACCATACCAACCTGCTGCATCCACTCAACTCTGTGAATAGCCAGAAAGCAGCCACAGGTAATACCTATGTAAACACACGAGCATGGCTGTGTTCCAATAAAACTTTATTTACAAAAACAGACAGTGGGCCTGATGTGGCCCACAGGCTGAAGGTTGCCCACCCCTCGCCTAGAAGAGATAGGGGGACTTTTGTAAATCACTCCTTTAATATCTCCAAATCCCCCCTCCTAACACAAGACCTCCACCTCCCTGCAATCCATTCATAAAAATTCATGTCAGAATAACCCCGTGGGGTGGGTAGCAAGAAGGGGTGAGCCAGACTGGCCAGTGCATTTGCAGATTTTTGGAGCTGGGTGATGGGCTCATTCCACTCTTCTATTTTTGTGTATATTTGAACAGTTTTCCAAGACAGAAAGTTTAAACAATAAAATTTTTTAAAAAGAGAGGAAAACCTTCTCAGACAGAACCACAAGCTGCAACTAGTGGGAAGTGTGGGGATTGTGTGTCCTGCCCGGGGCCGGGCCTTCAGGAAGCATGTGCAGTCGCACCAGCCCAGGGCGCTGTGCAGAGTGTACTCACGACCAGTAGAGCAGCATGAGCAGGAAGGGGCAGATGATGAGGGCCTGCAGCACCTGCCAATCCCGGCACAGGGCGGCTAGCCCAGGCATGAGGAACTGGCCCGCCATGGCCACGAAGCTCGCCACCATCGTAATCATGAACCGTTTTCCAGGGGGGCACAGCTCTATTCCTAGAACACAGAACCAATGAGAGAGAGATGAGTGCCCTGCTCGACAGCCCGAGAAGTCCTGGGTGCACCTGGGCCAGTGCACTGCTTAACCCACCAACGACTGAAATTGTTTTCATCTGCTGCCCACCACAAGTGCCCTATGTGGTGTGCCAGTGTTTTACGGGCGCGTTGAGGCTCCAACTGGGAAGGGAAGTGAGACGGTTGTTCAAGGCCACAGGGCTAGTCGATGACGAAGGGATGCTATAATTCAGAGGAGCTTAGCTCAGAAACCAGGAAATGGTACTGCCTATGGGACAGATCGCCCATTGTTCCTGCTTCCTCTGCTCTCCAGACGTCACTGAGCTTGCTGTCCAGCACGTTCCCCCCTCGTGCCCATCCTGTCGCCATTCCTTCCTGTCCATGATGCTGTATTAGGGGCCATCTCGACCTCTAGACAGGACACCAGGCATGCCCATATACTCACTCCTACCCATATGCACCACCCACCCCTTCTTCTGGTTCTCACTCCAGGGCTCCTTGAGCACTCCGAGTTCCAGGCAACCTACTCACACTGTGAGACAGAGGGAGACTGAGCTAAGTCTCAGCTTATCTATTAAACAAGACAAAAACCAACAATAAGGCTGACTCAGATCATATAGCAATGACCCTACCAGAAAGCCCCTTCTCCACGTGGGAGTTCTGTGGGCCACTGCAACACGGGTGAGTCATGCATCCTTTCTCTGTCTCTATTGGACACCACCCCCGGGCAAGGCCCATGTCTAATTCATCTTTGTAGCTCCAAAACCAAAAACAGTGTCTATTTTCAACAAATGACCACGGCCCCTCTTATTTGCAAGAATCTATTCTTTTACTTTGACCTTGAGTCAAAAAGATGATCAGAAAACTTTAATCTGTGGCACCCAAGTGACAACCAATACAGACTTACTACTACGTGAATCACCATAATGAAAGCCCTTTATAGTAGAAAAAGCAGCTGGGTTTTATATATATTATTTTCCCTACAGAGCATGTACATTTATTTGTGATTCTCCGGCAATATGCAGTATTCTCTAAAGGCTTCTTGCTTGCTTGCTCTTTCAAACATAAGGTAAGAAGAAGAAGGGGAAGGAGGAGGAGGGGGAAGAAGAAGAAGAGGAAGAAGACAGACCCTTCGGAGAGAACACTTTTTATGCCTGTGTGTTGGAGGCTGTTTGGATGGTGGGCTTCATGGATCAGCTGTGACAGCTCATCTGCTGGGTGTCTAGAGACCACAGCAGAGGTAGGAGGTCAGAAGGCAATAAGGGAAGCAGACTAGAGAGAGTACAGATGAATTATGCTTGGCTACAAGGATATTACCAGCCCTAACAAGGAGAGGGCACCATGCCAGCCAATTCCTACAGCAGCTCATCTGCTGGAAAAAAATAATAATGCCATCAGAATTTCCATTGCTGCTCAGCCACAAGCAAACAGATCATCATCATAGCTATCAGTGAACAAGAGAGAAACCAGATTTCACTGATTATTGCTTATAAAGAGGTTTCTACCATTTAATTAGGAAAACAAGATTAAATGGCTCACTCTCAGCCATTTGCTGCAATGCTGTTCCTTTTGGTACCATAGGTCAGGTTCACTTAAAAGATCACTACCTAGCAGGGTCCAGATCTGGCATTTCTGCTCTCAAAAATAATAAAGAAAAATAGGTCTTTTAAGAAAAGACTAACAGTTGTAGGTCTTGTTTTCATTTATTAAGCACAAGCAGTAAATTGGCTGCTATGGAAACCAGAAATCTATATTAGCCACGGTAAATTCAGTGTTGGAAGCTCAGCATGGGCTAGTATCAGATAAGGAAATTCAGCACTTGGCCATCCAGGTAACCTTTAAACAAAGTCAAAGAGATAATGTGGAAACAGCATGATGGCGTCGTATCAGTGGTTTGCTGGTACAGCAGACATATATTGCTTGCTGTTTTTCTCTTCAATACCTCTCTTTAGTGACATGATACAATGAAAATATCTGCAACTACACTTCTTTTACCAGAGTCTCCCTTTGGGATGTCTAACCCCACATCCTAATCTACACTGATGTGATGTCACACAAGGGATCATGAGGCCACTTCCCAGACCAGGTTCTAGGTTTGCGGATGAGCAGGGAAAATGCTCCCTTGCTGGACCAGTCTGGCTTCAGTCTCCTCTTGCTACAAGTGAGTTGCTGTGGCTGGCACATCTCTTAGTGTGACTGTCAATATGACAATTATTAAATGGTCATAGCTTTTCCTCCAAAGGTTGTCTCAATCCTCTCCTGTAAACAAGTGGTCGGCGTGGCCCCTAACCCTTTGCTGCCTGAAGTGTAGCGTGTGAACCTGCTGTGTCGGTATCGCATGCGATCACATGCGAGCTTGTTAGAAATGCAGCATCTTAGGCCCCACCCAGACCTAGAGAATCAGCATCTGCATCTTAATGAGCTCCCCAGACAACTCCTTGAGAAGCACTGGCTCACCGCATTTCTCCAAAACTGTAAGCATGTTTTGCCTCACAGACATATCGGTGGGAGCTGGAGAAGTGGAATAATTTTCTGACCTCTCCACTCCTTCTGTTTTTGCTAGGAATCCTAGCAGAGCCTTGACTTTATTTCAGCAGGTAGAAAAATGCAGAGCACTCCAGCAGAGACTTGGTATTTTAGCATTGCTGCCTAGGCAATGGAAAAACACAGCGGCTTGATGTAAGGACACAGGTATGGCCATCTGCAGTTAACTACCTTTTTTTGTCTTGACTCACCAGTAAATCTTTCCAAACTGCTTGAATCTAACTATATTCTGAAGGTGGCTATAAAGATGTTTTTGTAAAAGAAAGCAATGATTAAGAAACTGCAGGCACTTGAGGATTGCCATTAATCACAAGTTTCTCTGGAAGATGACAAATCAGTTTTTTTGGAAGTGGGAGAGGAAAGAACACATGAGGACATTTCAGCCTTGAGTCCCGGCATCCATCAGGAGGGACGGGGACTGCAGGTGGATCGTTTCTGCTGGGAGGGACGGGGACTGCAGGTGGATCGTTTCTGCTGGGAGGGACGGGGACTGCAGGTGGATCGTTTCTGCTGGGAGGGACGGGGACTGCAGGTGGATAGTTTTTGCTGGGCTCTGCAAGCAGAAGCATTTGGTGCAGCAGCTCCCACACCTTGAAGATGGTTCCAGTCGCCTGGCCAGGGGCCACTGGCCTTGGGCTTGAAAGGCAGGGAATGATGTCCCCAATCCAACTGCCCCTTCAGGGCCTGGCTACTGTGGAGAGTAGATCACTCACAGGCAGGTGTCCACAGTGCCCGTGGAAGACCTTGGCTGGCAGCTGTGTCCCGGTACTTACTAGAATCAATTTCTTTGCCAATGGAACCAAACCCAAATCCTTTTAGTAGATTTTCATTCATGGGCAGCCAGACTCTCCCTGATTATGTAAAACATTTAAGGGCCACAAGAAAGTATCTTGGGTGATGCATCAAAGATTCAAACATTAAACTATCTCAAGTGGCCAGCATGTAGCACTTCCACTGCTGTGGTTAAAAGCCTGGACTCCGTAGCTAGAGTGCCCAAGTTCAAATCCTGCTCCTGGTACATAGAAGCTGTGACCTTGGTTCAGTCAGTTAGGAGTTCTGTGCCTCAGTTTTTTTGTCTGCAAAATGGGGTGTTGTGAGCACTAAACAGCATATAGTGCTAGAACATAGGTGCTATGTGTTACAATCTCGTGCATTATTTTTCCAGATTTTGGAATACTTGCATATACATAACGAGATATCTTGGGCAAGGGACCCAAGTCTAAAAACAAAATTCATTTATGTTTCATATAAATCTTATATACATAGCCTGAAGGTAATTTTATATGAGATTTTGAATAATTTTGTGCATGAAACAAAGTTTTGACTGAGACCCATCATATAAGGTCATGTGTGAAATTTTCTACTTGTGGTGTCATTTAGGTGCTCAAAAAGTTTCAGATTCTAGAGCATTTCAGATTTCAGATGTTCTGATTAGGGATGCCCAACCTGCATAACAATATAATTATTGCCAAGTCGCTCATTGGTCTCATTCGACATGGTGAGATCCTGTCTCTAAAAAACAACCAACCAAACAAACAACCGTTACTTTTCCCCTAACACCTTAATGAAGAATGCTTACAAGCTACTCTTGGCAACTAGATATACTTTGTCGATAAGCAGAGAGATTACTGAGGGTTGTGAGAATGAAACAGTACGTAGCTGAGACTGAACTGAGGCATTTGTTTAGTGAATCAACAGGGACCATGACTAAGTCTGAGCACAGAGGCCGCCCGGAGGCTTTGATAGAAAAGTGGCATTGTTAGGAGGCCACAGCTCTGGGAGATACGCTTTTCGGAAGTCGTCAGATTCTTACAAATTTTCAGGAGGAAAAGCACATTGCGCTTCCCAGGGTAGACACTTTATGTGACGGAGGAGGAAGGCCTGAGGGAGTGGGGTGTGGGGGTTTGATGTGTCACGTGGCGGGGCTGCAGTCTTAGGCATTTGCTCAAACAGGAACCCCGGTGCTGCCAGGAGAGAGCTGACTTTGAGCGAGGGGCTTCTAGATAATTTGGGTGGGTCTCGCCTCATCTGTTGAAAGACCTGAACATAGGGCCGAGGCTTCCTTGAGGAGGAAGAAGATTCCACCTGTGGACGGCAGTGCCCGCCCCCATGCCCTGGAGTCCTGATGGCTGGCCCTCCCGCTGGCCCCTCATGGATGTCAGCCTGGCCACCCCTCACAGTCGTGTGGGCCAATTCCTCGCAGAAAATCTCTAAATATCTCCTGTTGTTTCCTCTTCTCTGGTTGAACTCTGAGGCGGAGGTCAGGAGGTCCTGCCCATCACACAGGCTCACACGAGGCCTCCCGTGAAGCCCATCTCCGAAGCTGCACCCCCTCCCTCCCCTTCTTACTCCCCACTCTCTCATCCTGTCCCTGCTTCTCTTCCCCGGCCAGCCTGGACCAGGTCCCAGCCTCACAGGGCACTGCCAAGCTCAAGGGACCGTCTGTCAAAACACTGCAGCACCCAGGGAGGAGCCCCAGGGAGCACGCAAAGGTCCGAGCTGTGCTACTGAGCAGGGCTTGGCCCCAGCTCCAGCGGCTAAGGCATCTGCCCACCAGAAATACCAGGGGTGGCCAAAGTTTTAACATTCTCCCCCCACCTCCCTCATCCCCCACAAACACACACACCGATCTAACTGTTCATTGGATTCAGTGATTATAAATAAAATTTTAAAAACCTTTTGAAGCCAATCTTTGAAAAAAAAAGGCCCATCCTCCCATAATGCACAAATGAATAAAACACAACACTTATTCTTCCTTAAATACGTTTAAGAAACTCTTGAATGCTTATGACCATAGAGAGAATATACATTTTCTTGGGATTGCTAAGTGCTCCTGGCTTCTCTGAAATGAGAGTACAGGATTTTTCTGGACTGGAGTTGGCAAGTAACAAAGGAATATATTAAGTTGACTGACAATACTTAAGCCAGAGGACAGGAATTCACAGAATTGTGCCCGCGGAACAAAGCGTGCCATGCAGGGTATGGGATGAGGCGCCCGCTCTGGCCTAGAGGTGGGGGTTAGATTCCTCCCCGGCCTCTGCTGGGCGGTGTGAAGTTACTCAGCCGCTCTGAGCCTGTGTCCTTGCAGCCAAGGTAGGTAACGATCGTACCTACCACATGAGGTGGTCATGAGAAAACGACACTCACGAAGCACTCGAGCGCACCTGGCTCATACTGAAGCCACGGAAGGCTTCCTATGTGTCGCTGGCCTCACAGACATGAGGCCACCCTGCTAAGCTGCCCCGGGCACTCTGCAGGCCCAAGGCCACTCTCGGGACAGGGCAAGTCTGCACAACTCACTGGCAGAGGGAGGTGAGACGGGCTCAGGAAAGGACAGCGTCTGCCCACACTGCTCAGGCTCCTAAATTAAACACAATTCCTGGAACAGGCCTGCGGAACGAGAAATCCTTCCAGAGGCCACTGCTGAACGGCCCGGCCATCCTCTCCCAAGGGGAAGCCTCTGCGAAGGCCGACTGGGCCACTAGGACACCGGGGCTTGGGGATCCCACCGCCCTGCCCAGCCCCAGAACACACAGGATTCAAAGAGGCCACTTCTCCAAACCCGCTGTCCTTACAAGTGGATCACCCCTCTCCTCCCCTCTCCCAGCCCTCCTCCATCATCCAATAGACTAGAAGCCCATTTCCACCAGCAGCGGGAAAATGTGGAAAGGAAGGAGGTGCAGTTTTCTCAACAGAGACTGGAGGGCTGGCCATGCTGCCTGCCTCGCTGGGCTTCCACCAACCTGGTTCAGGCTTGGCCCTAAGCTGCTGACACCCACCTGGAGACCACCACAGTCCTCTGAAGACAGCCCCATCATCCTGGACTGCGCCCCTCCCTGGCAAAGTGGAGAACTGCAGGGAGCTTCCTCTTACTCGCTGGCCTCACCATCTCCCAGACCACCATGCGAGCCTCTCTCCTCTTCCCTGCACCCTCCCTCCTTCCTGTCACTCCCCAAGTGGGCCTGGAAGTGAACACACCACTCAATAATTACTGCCACAGGCAAGGACGCATGGCCCCCAGAATCCTGGAAAATAGACTTTGGGACATGTGATTGTGGAATTCCTTATTATAGCAGAAGGGCCTGAAATTGCCAGTCATGGAGACCCAAATAGCATTTGAGGGTATTCCTGTAAAAGCTTGCCATTACAGCTCTACATCTCCCCTTCCGCGTGGAAGGCGTCCTCTTTCCTCTTAACTTAGGATCTGCCAACCCAAAGTAATGGTCAGAAGAATCTGAAAGAGTAGTTTTCTCCATTTAGAGAAAGGGAAAATTTTAAAAAACAGAGAAATTTTAAGTATTTCTTACAAATCACATTCCAGTGTCTGCCAGACATGTAGACATAGGCATTAAATGCTCAAATGCAGAAATACTGAATTAACTACCAATTGAATACCTATCATGTCTGCACTACTAGGCGAAGTAACAGCTCTCACTTGCTGAAAGCTAAATGCTTTGGGAGGTATTTTTCCTGTGTTAAATTCATTTAATCTGCACAATGACTGTATTATGTAGGTATTGTTTTTAATGCTCATTTTACATGAGAGGACCCTGAAACTCAGGGTGATTAAGGGACTGGTCCAAGATCCCACAGTTAAGAAATAAACAAGATGGGAGCTGAAGCCAGCTTCCCCTGTATTACCCCATATCTCTGCTGCAGGCAGAAGCTATCTTCAGGTATGGCCTCCTCTGTGCCCCACCAGAATCTAAGCTCCAAGGAGGGAAGGGCTTTTCAGGTTTTGCCTACTGCTGCTCCTCAGAGCCTAGGACTGTGCCTGACACACACCAGAAGCTCAGATACTTGTCGCATGAATAAATGTGAACATTTTTTCCTCCCTAGTTCAGTCACTTTACCAGTGCCCCCCAATCAATTATAGTCACCATGGAAGAGACTGGCCAGTGACTCTGTAGAAGCTGGCCCGGCACCCTACGTGGGAACTCATCAAAGTCCACATCATGGTTCTATATATTTATATGTGGATAATAATTTGAGGAAAATCAACCATAAAACCAAACATGAGCCACAGAGTTCAGTTTCTTTTCAGATTTTACTACCTTCTGTTTTTTCTTTAAAACTAACATTATAATGACTCAAATGAGGAACAGGGATTTGAATGCTCAGCAATCTCTTCTGTGTAAAAACAAAGACTGATGCTCAGCAGCACATGCTTAAGAATTTAAATTAATGACACTTTCAGTCTCCTAGTATTTAAAAACAGCAGAGAAAGCCAAGGAGAGGAACGACTTCAAACATCAGAATCCCCTCCCATCCACTGGAATTCTTTCCTTTCAGGTCTGTTGTTCATTGTCAAGCTAACTGAAGGAGCAGAGACGGGACAGGGTGGCTTTAAGGTGGAGAGCACAGCTTACCACCCAGGTTTTCCAACAACCAGTTCCAAAGTGACAATTCCCAATCCTCAGTTTTTCTGGTGCTATCCATTCTACGGATCAAAATCATACGCAGTGAGTGACCATGTTTGTAGAATTATATCACGCTTTTGAGCAAATGGAGCCTCACAGGCCTTCAGATTTGAAACCTCCGAGGCATGTGGCCAAACAGCCGAGCCCTAAATTACTTCAAGCTCTGTCCCATAACAGCATGCTCTCAGTTCCCCAGCTGTCGGAGGGCAGGGAAGATGATCTGACTTTTATTTCTCATCATCAGTGTCATCATCAATTGTCATTATTTTATGAGCTTGGCAAGCAATCAGGGAATCAGGGGCTGGGCGTATGGTAAACAGAATAGATCTCAATACCAGTTCACAGCATCACTACTGTGTGACATCTAGTAATAGTAAATATATTTTACTCTTTGGCATAATACTTCTAAATAGAGAAGAATTATTAGCAACTTAGTCTTTCCAAGTAAGTCTTCTTTTCTCTTCTTCTCTCATTTTCCCATCTTCTCTTGCATCTGGATTTAAAAACACTTTTCTTTTGAATGTTCATATATTCACAAAGAAGAGAGAATCATGTCATGAATATTTTGGATATGTTGCCCTTTTGGTTCTTCTGCCTCTTTCCCTCTCTTCTCTGTAATATTTTAAATCAGATTCCTGAAATCATGTCATTCTACTTTTAAATACAAATATGTCTCTCCTAAAAAAGACATTTTCACATCTAACAAAATTAACAATAATTCTTTAATATTATTCAATATCTAGTCTGTGTCCAACCTACTCAATTACTTCAAAAAAGTCTCTTTATAGTTTTTTTTTTAAATCAGGATCCAAACAAGATCCACATATTACATATCTTAATTCTCCTTCAGTCTAGAGCAGACTTCCCCCGACCCTCTTTCCCCATGGAACTTGAAGAAACCGCTGGTTTTATGTGACTGTCCCGTGATGTCGTTCACATGTTCCTTCATGCCCTGGTTTAATCTCTAAACTGGAAGCTCCACCTAATGTCTGGTGAGACCCAGGTTCAGGTTTTTGGAAGAGCGTATCGCAGCTGGTGCCTGTGCGTCACGGTGCTGCCCCGCAGGAGGTCACCTACTGGGAATGACGCTACCACTGACCCATGGAGCAAAGCGGCGGCGCCTCAGCCTCCCATCCTAGAGTTGTTCACCAACATTTTCCCTAAAGGTTTTGTAGGGAGTGCAAAATGGTGATCTGATTTTCTAATTCCATCCTTCACTGTATACTGTTTTCACCTTGAATTACTTTGGAAGGAAGAACTTGTATTCAGCAACAAGGGCCAGCTCTTTGCCCTGAAATACGGTCAGTTCAGAAGAGGCAGCATCATAAAATCACAATCACTCTGGGTGATAGCTAATTTCACACCACACGTGCCCCTCCAAGGGCTCCTGTTCCACTCAGAGTGAAAGCAAAGTCTTTCACAGTGACCCATGTGATTTCCACCCCTCCCGCATCCCTCAGACCACATCACCTGCCCCTCCCCGCCCCATCGCTCCACTTCAGCCACACTGGCCTCCCTGCTGCTCCTCTAACCCAGCAAGCACACCCCCCTTCTGGGCTGTGCACTCCCCGTCTGTCCTCCCCAGGGAGTTGCATATCTCCCTCCTCCTTTTCTCAGGTCTCTAAGAGCCATCTTGCCCAGAAGCTTTGCCCTGACCATGCTATATAAAATAGTAATCCCTGCCCTCTTGCTTCCCCATGTTGCGACCACACAGAGGAGAGTGCCTCCCCGACAGTGGTTTGCAAGTGTGGCCCCAGACCTGCAGCAGCAGCCTCACCTGGGGCCACCACCTCAGAAACACAGAGTCGGGGCCCTTCTCAGTCCTACTGTATCAGAAACTGAGGCTGGGAACAGCAATCTGTGTCAACAAGCTGTGCAGTAATTCTGATGCTGGCTCCAGCTGAAGAACCACTGCAGTATACTTTGCAAATATTAGCCACTGAATCCTCCTCATAAGCGGATGAGGTTGGGAATGGTGATGCTGCTGCTTCAGGGAACACCCTTTGAAAAGCAGTGTTCTGAACACTGAAGAGTTTTATACATCTCAGCCCTGAGATCCTATAATTAATTTTTCCATTGTAGCATTAGCATATTAAAAATAAAACAAAGCTAAGCTGCTTTAGAGTTTATAACACCTATTGGCCTACTGGCCTTGGGGTAACTGGATGTTGGCTGTTTTTATTTTTTTATTTTTGAGATGGAGTTTCACTCTTGTTGTCCAGGCTGGAGTGCAATGGCACAATCTTGGCTCATTGCAACCTCCACTTACTGGGTTCAAGCTATTCTTCCGCCTCAGCTTCTTGAGTAGCTAGGATTACAGGCACCTTCCATCGTGCCTGCTAATTTTTGTATTTTTAGTAGAGATGGGGTTTCACCATGTTGGCCAGGCTGGTCTTGAACTCCTGACCTCAGGCGATTCACCCGCCTCGGCCTCCCAAAGTGCTGGGATCACAGGCATGAGCCACTGCGCCCAGCGTAGATGTTGGCTTTTTAACCAACAGCAGGCATGTGACTTTTTTTTTTTTCAATGAAAAAAAAGAGTTCTTCCAACACCCAAAGGGCAAGGCAGGCAGAAGCACAAGAAACCTGAAGTTGCAAAGAAATTCAAAATTTCTCAGCCTATTTCAGATAAAAGGAAACTCAGAGAACACCCACCACGGTTGGCAGAGTCAAATGCTAGGCAGATAAGGAACGTGTGAAGCCCGCCGGGTGCTAGGGGCGGAGCCTGTGGCACATCGCCCGGTGCTTGCCCAGTTTAAAGGCCTTTAAATTCAATTAGAAAACAAAACACTGTCTAGGTCACACAGAACATGAGCAGGGTCAGGGACTGACTGCACACTGCCAGTCTGCAGCTGCTGATCCTTGTCCAACCTGCTTATTTTATTCAAGGGGAAAATAAGGTCACAGAGTTAGTTGGTAGCAAAAGCAAATTGTGATTTCCACACCAGGGGCTCTCCGGGCCTCTCACCATATTGCCTTTGGAGAATACAAGTCCCTAGGATTACTTTTGGGTTTTTGTAAAAATGGAGATTACAATAAAAAGAAAAGTTGAGGCTGATAGAACGTACAGCAGTTAAAATCAGCTTCCTCCTCCTCTACCAAATCAGAAAATCCTTTCGTGTTCTAGTCAACATAATGGCACCAGCTAATGAAACAAAGGGTCAGATCAGGCCATCAACTGGAAAGGGGTTTTCAAGAAACAGGTCTGTGATTGAGGAAAATACTAGCAGGTGGGAGCAGTAAGAGGTCTTCCTCTAAACCCAAGCAAAACGGTGCATTCTCAGCAGCGGCGGAGGCTCCGAGGCCTTCTAACACCCCATGCCATCTTGCTCTGGTGCCATCTTGTTCTTGGGCCATCTTGTTTTTGACAGAGCTTGTCTCACACAGTGTCTGCCTTTGAATTTCCTGCCCACGTGGACAGGGCCATGAGGACTCTAACACTACAGAATGCTAGTTCTCAGCCAAGTCCTGCACAGGGAATTTAGTGACAGCATCCTCCCTGAGTCTCAGCCATCTCTGGGGTGAATTCCTCTCGCCCCATGTATCAGGTGGGGACAAGGCCTCAGTGAGCAGGGCTCTCACATACCCCACAGGTGACTCGACAGGTCACACTGCGTGTATCACATGCATGCCCTGCTGCATGCACAGCTTGGACTGGCAAATAGATGCTAAGCTGGGGGCTCTTCTTTCCTGGGGGCTCCATCTCTCCCTCCAGTTCTATAGATTGGTGCCATTATTTTTAATGGCAAAAACCGTAATTACTTTTGCACCAACCTAATAAGATATCTGAGTTTATAAATGAGCTGACTGAAATCTGGACTCAGGCCAGGTGTGGTGGCTCACGCCTGTAATTCTAGCACTTTGGGAGGCCGAGGCGGGCGGATCAAGAGGTTAGGAGATCGAGGCCATCCTGGCTAATACGGTGAAATCCCGTCTCTACTAAAAATACAAAAAATTAGCCGGGCGCGGTGGCGGGCGCCTGTAGTCCCAGTTACTCGGGAGGCTGAGGCAGGAGAATGGCGTGAACCCAGGAGGTGGAGCTTGCAGTGAGCCGAGATGGCGCCACTGCTCTCCGGCCTGGGCGAAAGAGCGAGACTCCATCTCAAAAAAAAAAAAAGAGAGAAATCTGGACTCTTCTCCTAGGAGTGCCTGCTGGAAGTTGTAGAAAATGCACACACACAGATTTGCACCTCACCTAACTCAGCAGTTAAGCAAATGTTTCCCAAGAAGGTGGGAGGCTGCGAGTCAGAATGTGTGTGTGATCATCCACTTGGGTGGCGGGAAGGAGGAGACAGCACCTCCATGCCACGCCCACATTGTTCTCACCTGGACTGCCATAGTCGCCTGTGACCAGGGCTTTTGCTACCAAAGAGTTCTTCCCTTTAATCCATCTGACATCCTGCTGGCAGGTTACTGCCCCTAAAGCCCAGCTCTGTTCTATTTCAATACTGCTAAAAATGCTACGTCAGTCCAAATTCTGAGCCCACCAACCATGGTCCTCCATGATTTCGTCCCAGGCCTATTCCCCTTCTCACAGGCTGCTCTTCTCACATAACTCAATGTTCCTGGCAAGCCAGGTGGCTGCAAGCCCTACACTGCCACAGCAGCGAGCTCCTTGAAAAGGAAAACCACTCTGTCACCTGTGTCCTTCCTAACGTCTAGCATTGTATTCAGCACTTACCAGAGGCTCAACACGCCCTGAATCAGACCACAGAAATCAGACCACAGAAATCAGGCACAACTTCCATGTGGAAATTTATTACCCAATGTGTTCAGCTAAGAAATTGAGTAAATTAAGAAATAACTGTAGTAGGCTTTTTTTTTTTTTTTTTGACAAGGTCTCCCTCTTTTACCTAGGCTGGAGTGCACTGGTGTGATCACAGTTCACTGCAGCCTTGACCTCCTGGGCTCCAGTGGTCCTCCCACTTCAGCCTCCCACTTCAGCGTCCCTATAGCTGAGACTACAGGCACATGCCACCATGCCTGGCTGATTTTTAAAATTTATAGTAGACAAGGTCTTGCTACATTGCCCAGGCTGGTCTTGAACTCCTGAGCTCAAACAATCTTCCTACCTCAGCCTCCCAAAGTGCTGGAATTACAGGTGTGAGCCACCACTCCTGGCAGACTAGCTTTATTAAGCATATTTACACAAGGGCATGAGCATCCGTCATGAATGTAGCCTCTGAGGGCTCTGCGCTAAACACAAATGCAGAGTTCCTCAGGGCTGCTTCAACCACAGGAGAGCCAGGAGGCCTGTTTGTTGGAGCAAATCGCCAGCCCACCCCACACAGTTGCACTCAGTGACTATGTGTGCCTAAGGCGGAGGTGCCATTTACAGAGCTGCCAGTGGTGCTGCTGGGGAGAGTGGTGAGTATTCAGGGAGGCCTTGTAGGTGCCAGGTACTGGGCACAGTGCCTTTTATCATCTGCACAACAAGCTCTGTGTTAAGTGTTACAATTCCCTTTTTTTTTTTTTTTTTAAATCCTGCCTTGTCCTGCCCCCAGTGTTAACATTCTTATTTGAAGCTTGGGAAAAACTAATTCATTGACTCCCATAAACGCAGTTAGCAAAAGGAAGAGCTAGATTTCAAGCCCAGGCTCCTGCAGAGCCCTGGTGGGAAGGTAACAAGAGGCAACAGGGCAAGGACCCGGGCAAGTCTTTCCTGTGTACCATGTGCTCGGGCCCCACCGAGGGCAAGGACAGCCTGGTGTGGCGACAGGCTCGCAGAGGCCACAGGCTGGGCTCGGCCTTGGTGATCCACGAGGACTCCCTCAGATCCTGGGTTTTCCAATTCGTGAAAGGAATGTGGAACAAGATCAGGAAGTTGTGAAGGGGCTCAGAGTATGTCATCTTGAAATATGCAAATATGCTACTTTCGCATAAGGATTATTTTGAGTTGAAGGCAATTGGAGAAAGAGCAGATGCAGGAAAAGCTCTCTACCCACCTTTCTGCTTAGAGGCAGGGCACAAATTTCCCTTTGTGAAGTTGTCACCCCCAGACTCCCTCCCTTCTCCCACAGGAGCAAGAGGAAGTGAGATGACTCACCACTGGGGACACTACCGACTTGAATCTGCATAAACAAACCTCACGAAATAGCCCCGTCTTCCATCAGTTTCCCCCATATATTTACCGTCCCACAATTTACTGCTCCTAGAAGCCCGAAGCCTTTTCCTTTGTCTTGTCATTTCTCAAATCATGTATTGCTTTCTGTTAAAATGGTATAGAAGCTCTTAGGCTTAACCATTTCCTTGGGCTTTCATTTCTTCTGTGAGATTCCCCTGTACATGTAAAAATTAAAATATTGACATCAAGTGCAAGTATGGCCTTTTCTCCTGTTAATCTGCCTTTATTTCTTATTTTTTGAGACGGAGTCTCACTCTGTTGCCCAGGCTGGAGTGCAGTGGTATGATCTTCGCTCACTGCAACCTCCGCCTCCCGGGTTCAAGTGATTCTCCTGCCTCATCCTCCTTAGCTGGGACTACAGGCGCATGCCGCCATGCCCAGCTAATTTTTGTGTTTTTAGGAGACAGGGTTTCACCATGTTGGCCGGGCTGGTCTTGAACTCCTGCCCGCCTTGGCCTCCCAAAGTGCTGGGATTACAGGCGTGAGCCACTGTGCCTGGCCTTAATCTGTCTTTAGTCAGTTTTATTGGCAGGGTCCCAGGTTCTAAACCTAAAAGGGTAGAGGAAAACATTTTTTCTTCCCTTTTAGTTGCATCCTTAAAGTTTTACCACTTCATAATTATGTGATAATGTTTGTAATAAAGAGAACAATGCTATTAGAGATTTAAAAGCCTATACAGAATTAAACGTGGCAGCACTGAGTTTAATTATGTAAGATGATGTCACCTTTGGGGTTTCTTGCTCTTGTCTGAGAACATTAGCTCCTTCTAGTCTAGAACCACTATTCCATCAACACTGACCAGATGGGGAACATGGAGCAAGAGAGGTCCAAAGGAGGTACCCAGGAAGCCCCAACGGAGAAAGTAACCCCAAGACTGAAGCCTGAGCAATTTGGTGGAGGTGCCAGATGAAGAGAGGATGTGTGTGTGGAGAGCACAGAGCTGCAGAGGGAAGAGCAGGGTCGAGGGGAGGGAGGAGCCAGTCATTTCTTAAGTGATGCAATAGCTCTGTGGCTATTATTGCCATTGCAGCTGAAATCCATGTCAGCCTCCTACCAATCAGGATTTCGTATCCTTTAAAACTCCTCTTCCAACTTTAATAAAAATTAAAACAGTGTGCTTTCCCCCACCCCCAATCTGATAATCCACCACCAGGCACACAGGCCTTAGATGAAGACAGATGGTGATCTGTCTTCAAAGACTTTGTCAAGCTTTGTTACAAAGCTTTTTGTTTTCTGTTCATTCCCCAGGTGCAGCTGAGTTCCCAAGCCCTGGTCCTGTCCCTCCTGGGGTGACAGCCTCCACTTTCCAATTCATAATGTCAGAGGCATGTGAGCCAGAACAACTCCATCTTAAACAGGAGCTGGGTAAAATGAGGCTGAAACCTACTGGGCTGCATTCCCAGATGGTTAAGGCATTCTAAGTCACAGGATGAGACAGGAGGTCGGCACAAAAGGCAGGTCATAAAGACCTTACTGATAAAACAGGTTGCAGTAAAGGAGCCGGCCAAAACACACCTAACCCAAGATGGCCACAAGAGTGACCTCTGGTCGTCCTCACTGCTACACTCCCAGCAGCGCCATGACGGTTTACAGATGCCATGGCAACGTCAGGAAGTTACCCTATGTGGTCTATAAAGGGGAGGCATGAATAATCCACCCCTTGTTTAGCATATCATCAAAAAATAACCATAAAAAAGGGCAACCAGCAGCTTTTGCGGCTGCTCTGTCTATGGAGTAGCCATTCTTTTATTCCTTTACTTTCTTAATAAATTTGCTTTTACTTTGCACTGCGGACTGGCCCCGAACTCTTTCTTGGGTGAGATCCAGGAATCCTCTCTTGGGGTCTGGATCAGGGCCCCTTTCCTGTAACAATAATGGCTGAGGAACATCTGAGCCTCCTTATGTAAACATATGAAATTAAAAATGTGTCCATGAGAATACAGCTTCCCTCCTCTCCTCTCCCCACAGGGGAGGTGCTTCCTAGCCCAGAGAGCGCTCCCACAAAAGCGGTATTATCCAGGAGGGATGGCCTGGAGAAGGGAATGGTAAGGGCAGGGGCTTTGAAATTGGTTGGCATTTCCATTTTCCAAGTACCAGCTATACGAATGACATTGAGCAAGAGGCTTAACATGCTTATGACTCTCTTATGAATGGCAAGAGGTACTATCTGGAAGAAATGTTTGTCAGAGTCAAAGAAAGTGATGATATAAGGTAAAACGCCCGCCGGTCACATTCTCTCTAGGGCCTTCAAACAGCACGTTAGTATAATAATTCAGGGACACATTTAAACAGCCCTGTGGGCTGGCCTGGGGACCCATACGTAACCGCAGCAGAGTCTATGACAAATTGCCCCTTTAGTTCCAGGTAACCATGAGATAAATGAACTTTTGTAAAAGTTGATAATTCTTGCAAAAGTTGGGAACATCTTGCATAAGAACGGCAACTTGGAAAGTGACTCGATTTCTAACCACAGTATGAGGAGCTTTGTAACCGATCCTTTGTGTAAAGGCCAAAAACGATTTTCAAGGTCCCATGTGAAAAAGCAGGAGACAATTGCCGTAGCAAATTTATAAAGTGACAGAGTGCGGCCCTTATGGAAAACAGATGGGGCTACTGGGAAAAGGGCAGCCGCATGACGTGCTAGAGACATGAGAACCGAGAGACTGTCCTTAGGTACTTGTGGGTTTTGATGGGATCTGTCTGGAAAGGATACATTTACCATTTGGGAAAACAGAAACCAGGGCAATATGAGTTTACAGGAATGATATTTAAAGGACTCATGTCTTCAAGCTTATGCTCCTTCTTTCAGGATCAGGTTGAATGAGGAGGGGCCGGTCTCTCATGTTACACATAACCTTTGGCATTCCCATCACCAATGCCTGCTATGGCACCTTCCCCTCCCTTCACAGGGTTGAAGGTGGCCTGCTGTGAAGTCAGGGGTCACATGGCTCCTGTGAGCTCCTGGCTCTGAAGGACACACATTCGGAACATACAGCATTTAATATAGAGAAACAATCCTCACACAGAGGTTGCTGAGAGGCTGGCCCGAGTCACAGATGACCTCAGAAGCTGTTTTGAGATTCATTGGAAAGAGGGTTTCTCAGAAAGCCCTCCCTCCGATCAAGCTGAGAGGAAAAATGTTAAATATGAAGGATTGAAATGCTAAAAAAAAGTTATGCCATTGAAGCATACTTTTTGTTGTAGTTGTTTCAAAAGATTTTGTTCCAAAAGCCTAACTTTTATACAGTGCAAGAGGCTGTTTCAAGGTGAGGTTTAGAGGACACACCTGAAACTTTTTAGAATGGCAGATGTCAGACCTCACTAGAAAACTCTGAGGTGGATGGGTTTTGTTCTCTCTCTCTCTCTTCTTCCAACTCCTTGGGTCCAGAACATGAAAACCCAGAAAAAAATCACAGTATTACTCTACTTAGGATGTGACTCTGTAGTCACTGGTTAATCACTGCTCTGGTGTTAGATGACATTCAAATGTAAATGCTGTGATTACCAAACCATCTCAGACTTCTGGGGTAAGTGTTCAGCCAGCACTTCTGATTCACGCTGGGCTGCCTTTGACAGAGTTGGCAGAAAAGAAAAGAAGCAAAAGAGAAGAAACCACACGCACAATTCATTGGTCATCTGTTGTGACCGAAGCTTCCCTGTCAAGCGAGGGGGGTGGGGGCGGGGGAGCGCAGGAAACTGAACACAAGCTGGGAATAAAATTTCAGACTGGGGCCATCCTTTCCACACCTGTAAATCCTTTAAAAGAAAAGTTAATGGATTTTAAAAAAAATCATACAACTTAAGTCTTCTTGTACTTCTTTCATTTCCTAAACAAATCCTAGGGCCCAAGTGATTATCTATATTTCGATTCATGGATAGAGGAAGACATCTGTTCAGTAGCATTAAGAAGAAAATCTTTCTTCTTAATGAAAGATTAATGAAGCTTTAATTAAGATTTCTTCTTAATGAAAGCTGCTAGTTTAGGTTCAGCAGCTCCTAAACTAGCATTTTGTTCCTCTAGGTACATACTATGGGTTTAAATTTTAGGTGTGTCTGCGTGAAAATGAAAACTTATTCTCAGTTACCGTTTTGTTTCAAGATGGAAGCCTCAATTTGAAATCCAGCCCAATGTGGTTTGCTGTTTTAAGGCCATGTGTCTCCTTAACATAACTCTTTTTCAAAAAGTCATTGGGTGGCCAACAAATTGAGATAAAACAAAATTTAAAGGAATACCTTACTTCATTTAGGCAACCGAATACTAAAATTTGAAATTCAGAATGAAGTACAGCCCCAGAAACTATGGAAGTGAGGCCACTAGGGTTCACGGCTCACCTCCTTTGAAACACACACACCTCTTTCTCTCTCCCAGTCTGCAGAGGTCCCTGAAAACAGTGCTTCTCAAAGGTGGGGCCTCCTTGACCCACAGCATCAGAGTCCCCCGGGGCCCTGAGCCCAGATTCCCAGAAACAGATGCTTTCCAGATGGAGCCCAGGAAGCCAGTAGATGGGGGGTCCAGGAGATTCAAACCTTGAGGAGCTTTTGCCGTCAAATGTCAGCAAAATTGCTGGGATTTCTCATCTGCCTGAAACTGCCATCGTACAAATAACACCTTCACATTAGTGCTGGGGATGAAAACCTTTTCCTCCACCCTCCTAGGGTCAGTGCTTGGGGCCTGTGAATTAAACTGACAAAAGACAGGCTGGCAAGAGGAAAGACAAAGTTTAATCACATATGTATACCGGCAGGAGAGTGCAAAAAATGGCTCAGAGAAGAGGTTGGAATTTGGGGCTTTATATACCATCCTAATGCAGGGAAGGGGTTAGGATTTCAAGAGACAAGAAATAGTGGGAAATGACAGAGAAATACACGGGGGAAATAATATAAGAGAAGGTTTGTTTTAGTAAGGTGTGTTTATGCAATTTCTCATCCTGCATCAACTTCTCATCTTCACCTCTGCTGGGAGAAATCTCCCTTAAAGGGGGATTTATGACAGTTGAATTCTTCGGGAAAGCTCTGTTTCTAGGTAGATGGGGGAGTTCCGACAAAGCTGCGTCCTGCATCTGCTGGTTCTCAAATGCTGTCAGCTCACAACAGTCCTTATGGCCAGTGGCATATTCTGGACCACTTCAGCAGCAAACAGAGACACTGCATTTCCACATCTATTCCCAACCACACTCTTGCCTCGTAAACAAGTGCTAATCCCATTTAACAGGGAGGCCCCAAGAGGTTAGTTACCAAATAGGCCTTAGGTCATATGGTTTATAGTATCTAGGACTTGAATTCAGATCTTTGGATTTTAAACACCAGATTTATCCTTTAAGAACGAAGGAAACATCTCCAGCCCCTGCAAATACACACACACACGCACACACACACACACATCCTCATCATTTAGACATAATGTCCTCGTTTTAGACATCTTTTTTTCAATAAGACTAGCACAATTTATCACCATGACCATTAATGAGACCAGCTCTTAACAAGCTAAGCTTATCAATGAGGGCTCTCTCCCATGTTTGTCGAGACGTAATTAAATACTCAGCAGCCGGCCAAATGTCGAAAGACCCTAGGTCGCTCTTGAATTGCCCATCTATCTGCTTCTGAACATAATGACGTTGACTGATGACCTTGGGGAGCTGGCTGTATTTAAGAGAAGAGCCAATCACTGTCAAACATTGGTGCCGAACAGAGAGCAGCCCTTAAATACATACACACAAGAAGCAATGAAAAAATGTTTCATTTGGGAAAGAAGACAGAAGGCACAGGATGGCAGAAGAAGGAACTTACATTCTATAAATATTGAGAATATTTTCTCAAGTAAATTTTAGATTCGATTCGCTTATTCCTAAGTTAGAAAATATTTTAAGAGGATTTTTGCTAAGGGGAATGGTACACGAATTAGAATCTACTGTCCAGTCTCTGACAGCACTGGGGAATGCCTTGGTTTCTGTGGCTTTTTCTTCCAGAACTGCATTGTCCAATACAGTGGTCACATATGGCTATTTAAACTTAAATTAATTAAAATTAGGTACAAGTAAACCTTCAGTTCTTCAGTTGCACTGGCCACACTTCAAGTGTTCTATTGGACAGCACTGATCTAGAATCTGATGTTAACATGTCAAAATGAAAACACCTTCCTAGCATTCTCAATGACATGTAAGTAAGAAGGAGGGGAAAACCAAACAAATTTTTTAAAAAAGTAGTATTTCACATATATGGAAAAAGCATAAGAAATAATAGAGAATACCCAAAACAGCTTGGCCAAATCTCTACATGTGCCATATTCTCCTCCCCTCTTTCCTTCCCCTTTTCTAGCAGAAGCTCTACTGGATCCCTTTGATGAGTCTAAAGGGCTGTATTGAAAAGTTCAAAGGACACAAGCGGTAGTGTCTGACACGACCATGTGGTTAAGAACCTGGGCTCTGGGGCCAAACAGCCTGGGTTCTAAATTTTCTGGGAAACTAAAAGCCATTCTATAATGTTTGGGATTTCATTGAAGGTTAAAATGAAACTAATTTGTACACATAGAGTGATGTATAAAGATCCTTTTTCTGGAGGTAGAAGTGAACAGCGTGTCTTGAAAGAACCAATTCCAAACTTTAAGCATATTGAAATAAGTAAGCGTTAGGCAATCACGAACTCCTTCAGTATCACATTTTGGTCCTTATAATTTCAGAAGCAAGCTTCTTGCAAACTATCCACCTGCTGCCTCCTTAAAATGGGGTAAAGGTGCTTCTGGAGCTAGAAGCAAACACAGGAGAAAACTCATTTCTTGGCAGCACTGGCAGCCTGGGCTGAGGAAACCATCTTCCTAGTCTTGATGTTCAAGAAATTTTAAGTATCAGGAAACAAGTGGACTCCTCACTGAGCAAACTTCCTTTATACAAAGAAAGTGGCCATTTGTTGTCCAGTACTTGACTAGACAAAAGACCCACGGCTAAGACTGTAATAAATATGTCCCTATGTCTGAATGCAAAGAACAATTGGCTTTGTCAGAATTCTTAACTTTCTTTTATCTTAGTGTTACTTCTACTACATTCCCAAATTCAGTAGACTCCTAGCATCAGCATCTAGGGAATTAGCACACAGAGGTGTCTGAATAGGTACCGAGGTTCATTCAAATGACTGAGAAACGAAAGATACATGTTGAGTTTTATATAGTCCATCTCCAGTCAACTTAAGAAAACAACTTCTTAGAGGGAAAGCACTCACTTTTAAGTTACAAGGAAAGTACCAGTAGTTTATATCTCTTTTCTTTTTTTTTTTTTTTTTTTGAGACAGAGTCTTGCTCTGTCACCCAGGCTGGAGTGCAGTGGTACGAACTGTGGCTCACTGCAGCCTCCGCCTCCTGGGTTCAAGTGATTCTCCTGCCTCAGCCTCCTGAGTAGCTGGGATTACAGGTATGCACCAACACACCTGGCTAATTTTTTATTTTTAGTAGAGACAAGGTTTCACCATGTTGGCCAGGCTGGTCTCAAACTCCTGACCTCAGGTGATCCTCCCGCCTCAGCCTGCCAAAGTGCTGGGATTACAGGTGTGAGCCACCACACCCCACCCTAGTAGTTTATATTTCTAAAAATATGGTGCCCTTCCCAGGACAAGAGGATAAGAGAAACGTGGGACTTGTATTTATATGGAATTGAGATGGTCAAATGCTTGTTGACTCAGTAATACATTTCTATCATTATGTAAAACCAAGTCTGCCTCCAAATAATCATGAAGTAGAACTGGCCTACCTGCTGCTAAGCAGATTTTGTTTTTGTTTCAGTTTTCTATTTATAACCTGCTGTACATATAGCCGAGCTTGTTTCTTATTTTGGTGTCTCCCGTTCTCCGAGAGTGTTGGCTGCTGTGGCCTTCCTTGATATTGCAGAATACACTGAGCAACATGGTACACACGCTTGCTGTCAGCTGTCATACTGCCACTAAACAGCTTCCACTTCAGCATTTGAAATGTTCCACTTACAGCCTATGAGTGATTCAGCCTGGTGCCAGTGAAACTTTTCCTGCCTTGAACTGCTCAAAGCCCAAGCAGGCTCCTGGACGTTCAAGGGCACAGACTCTCTTTGAATGTGCACGATGCCAATCTGACAGGCCAGCGCCACCTCTGCTCGGGTCCCAGCTCAACGTCTCTGCTGACCTGCTCACACGTTCATGTACCTCTAAAACCCAGCATTGCACGTCTGAAGCTGCAATCACCCCTGCCCCTCTCCGCACAAAAGCCAGCCCTTCCATCCACTTCATGTCTGTTAATGACCCATGCATTCCCTCAGTCACCCCAGGATGAGAACTGGGGGCAGCAACCCCTTCCTCCCCTGCATGGATGAAGTCCCAGTCCAGCCAGCTTCCTCCCTGCAAATCCTCTTAGTGACTGTGCACCCCATTGCCGCTACTCTGTTCCAGCTTGGGTAGGGTCCCCTCCGTATCTGCTGCCACACAGCTTACAAGGGCATTCCCAAGCAGGCAAGTGGCTCTTTAAACCCTTGTGTTGGCATTGCATTCCTGTGTCATCACATCCAGATCCTGGGCAGGCATGAAACACCTCCAGCTACTCCCAGCTGCACCATCCCACAGCCTCTTGGGAGTCCATGGGAGCTGTGCCCATTCCCTGGCCATCCCTCAGACCCACCTTCCACTTGGTTCCCTGTCATGCCTTTGCTCAGCTCAGTCCTACTAGAAATAGTCTGCCCTTGCTGACACCCAGGATGAATTCTAACCTAGGACCTGGCAAAGCTGTCTTGGGTCAGGGCACACATATAACACAGAGCATATACCCCCTAGTAGCATCTAAAGGACAACATACATACATTTTAACTTTTCACATTAAACAAAGATACTATGGGAATTCCCTGAAAATACAGACATATGTATTAAGGGAATCACCAATAACCCAAACACCCAGTGTTCATATTTTAGTATATTTCCTCCCAATCTTTCACAACGTTTTTTTTTAAATGGTTATCAGTTTGCTTTTGTTATTTTACATTATGTTGCACACATTTCCCCAAGTCATTAACTACCCCCACGCTGTGATGTCCTGTGAGTGCCCGAAGTTTGACCGTGCAGCCACGCCACTCATGGACTTAACCCCTCGCATCACTGCGGGACATTCAGCAGCTTCCTATTTTGTACGGTTGCGTTGTCTTACACGCACATGCATCTGTCCCCCCAACTGGACCCTAGCGTTCTTGTGGGCCATGTCCTTCTCTCACACTTCCTCGCACCCCTCAGGATGGTGAAGAGCTGACACAGAGAAGACTCTGGTGAGTGTTGGCGGCTGACCTGAGCAACCAACCCCCAACATTGGAGCATCATCACGGCTGACCTCTGAGAGCTGAACTGCACAGGAGAATTTAACTACACCAGGAGCACTTAGTCATTCCTTCCCCTGGGTAACAGGAGGCAGGGCCCAGCCATGCAATGAACTGCCAAATGCCTCAGGTATCTGCTTGATCTCTTGGGTCTCCTAAGCTGCTTCTCTCCCAGCCTCCCTCTCTCATTCATCGCTCGTGTTGGCTACCTCCTGGTTCTTCTCAATGGTCTTCTCTTTCTCCTCCTACTTTACATTTTCTGATCTATACTTTTTAGCATAAAAATCTGATTTTTTTATGACTTCATATTGAATTTTTTAAAAGTCTGATATTTTCTCATTATTCCTCTAATCTCCACTGGAGACTCACTTTATGCACAAGATTCCTGAGTCTTTGGCTTGGCATAGGAGGTCCTACACAGTCTGCCCTGCCCTCAGGCTGTGGCCAAGAGCCCTTCCTTCTACTGCTAAAGATGAAGCTCTGCCCAGCATCGGGAGGTGTGCGGCTGTTGCCCCAGCCTGGACGCCCTCCTGTCTCTGCGTGGTGATGTGTCATCATGGAGGCTTTTGCTCTCCACTCCTTCATCTAACTCAGGCCTCACTGGCTCTCTTATCTCACTGCAGGCTTCTCCTTCATGGCACCTGTCCCAGCTGTGGGGGACACACTTATCTAGTTACCTGCATGCTGTGTGTCTCCTGCTCTGGAAGGCTCCAGGAGGAAAGAGACATTCTTTTTGTTTTCTTCAGTCCCAACCCTCTAATCCTTGGTGCCTGCACGTTCCACGATTCCATGCTTGGGGACGGAAGGATGTGGGGATGTGGGGAAGTGAGGAAGGGAATTGGTTTCTGACCATGGCCTGGAACAGCTACTACAACGGAGGGGTCTGGCCTCTGAACCAAAGCCTAGGCGCCATCTTTCCTGGAGCAGGAGCTGTATTTTTCTACAAGCTTCTGTTTTCTCTTCTTACCTGAGCTTTGGGTGACTTGTGGCCATCTGCTCAGAGTGACAATAGCAGTCTGCATTGTGTTTATCTTGCTCTCAGTTTCTTTATTTAGCAAGGCCACTGTCTTCTTACTGAGTCCCATCTGCACCTAAGTGAGTGCACACTATAGAATCCGGCCCTGTTGATGGAAAAATGCAGCCCACCATTCGGCACTTACTAGCCTGGCAATCACACGAGCATCCACCACATTCCCGGCACGGAGCTGGGTGTGGTGCCCTTCCCAACTCCTAGGACCTGACCCACCCAACACCTGAGGCCAGATACTTCACCCCTAGCGGCTGCTCATTCAACCCAAGATCCAACTAGCAAACTGTCCAAGGAAAACAGAGCTTCAAACCTTCCAGCTGCAGAAAGTCACCAAATCTTACAGCAAGCATCCTGGGTCACAAGGAGACAAACCCTTCCCAGCCAACGGACCGGGTCCCCATGACCCAGAGCCAGGGCAGGGAGGGCTTAGGAATTTAGAGGCTTTGCCTCAGAGGAGAGTCAACTGGTACTGTCTTCCCTTCCAACTGTCTCTCCAGCGTTCATCACCACTCTGGAAATAGTCATCTTTCATAACCCCTTCAGAAGAGTAAACAGTGTCTCCCTCTGGGTAAACCAGAAAGCCACAAAGCCTCCCCTGAGCAGGATGACAAGGAAGGGGGATGCTCCTCTGCTTCTGCCCTCAAGGACAGCTGCCTTTTCTGCAAACAGCTGGGTGATGGGGTGCTTCCCACTGGGGCCAACTGGCCGCGGGGCACTTCTCCCTGCTCTTCGTTCCTCCCTGCCAAAGCCTGCAGAACCCTCGAGGAAGCCTGCCCTAGCCACCAAGCAGCTCAGCACTGAGCTGGGGCTTCGGACTGGGCAGTCAGAGCCCCAAACACCTTTCTGTCTCCTACCTGTCTTTCTTCCTCCCCACTTCCTGGGGACCTAAGAGGCAGCCTCTCTCTCCCTATCCCACCTACCCGAGGACTCTTCGGCCAAATTGACTCCTACCACCAAATCCCAATGCCAACCCCGAGGCAAGCCCTGTGGCCCCTGGAGTTTCTGGAACCCTCTCTAGAATGTGGTTCAACCATAGGGCATCCCCTGCAGGCCCTGAATTATTATAGTACCAAAATATACCTTCCTTCCTCCTCCACCTCCTCACAGCCTAGTTTGCAGTTAGGCTAACCGTCACAGCTGGCATGAGCTGTTTTCATCAGATTAAAATGCATGGCCCTTCTTCCCACACACTATTGTATTTCTGTTTGGTGAAGAATATTGAATACTCAACCACCCAAGTGCTTTAAATATCACTGAATCTCAGGAGGTGGAAGAGCAGAGTGGAGAAGATGAATTATTTGAACTACTCAGAAATAAGCCTAACATGAAAGCAGGAAATTCATATGAAGTGGGCAGTGCCTCAAGCAACCTGATATCTTCAGGAAAGATAAGGTGGTGGCTTATTGCTCCCATCGCTCTCTGATCACAGACCTGGGACAGAGCACCTCTTCCAGGGCTCTTGATTCCTGTGATACACGAAGGCAGATGATCACGGTCGCCTTCATCCCCTCTTGGGGGCTAAGTACATTCACAGTCCCTTGGTTCTTGGTCTTTGTGTCCTTTGAAGCACATAAAAGTCTGGTGGATGAGTAGGACCATGGTTGATAGAAAATTATTTCCCAGTACTGCACAGCATAGTGACTCAGCATGCATGCACACACACACCCCAAATTTTCATGAAACGATACTTAACCCTTATTGTGTGTGATGCACTTAATTCTATTTTTTTCTTTAAAAATGCTGGGCAGGACCCACCCGATGGATTCTATAACCCTTAACCCAAGCCCTAATGTGTCATAAACTACAGTTTTAAAAGCTGCTCTAAAGTAGGGTTGGAAAACTATGACCCTCGGGCCAAATCCTGCTGAAGGCTGCTGTTTTTGTACAATGCACTGCCTGATTTTATTCAGCTCGTCCCTAAGAATGGACATTTTTAAATGGTTCAAGACAACCAAAAGATGAATAATATCTCTTGTGTGAAGTTTATGTGAAATTGAAATTTTAGTGTCGACAAATGCGGCTTTTGTGGAATGCGGTCACACTCATTCACCTCCAGATTGTCCATGGCTGCTGTTGCAGTAGCAGGGAGTAGTAGGTGGGGCAGAGACCGTATGGCCTGCACAGCCCAGAATATTCATGTTCTGGCCCTTTGCAGAAAACTTGGCCCATGCCTGCTCTGAAGCTTTGACAGCTGCAGGCTGGATTAACTGATCCATTCGTCAAACTGGTTGTCAGAGCCAGCATGTTTTAGTTATCCTTCAGTTTCTAACAGAAAAATCAGCATTATTACTTAAAAAATGCAAATGGTGATTTTTATTATGAGAGCAGATTCCTCAAGGGAGACGGAGTTATTTTCACATCAGAGAGAGAAAACAAATGGAATTTCTTGGTGGTAATGGGGAGCTGGTCTCACTGCCCTTCTCACTCCCATTCTGAGGTCAATCATCTTGTATCTTCAAAGGGCACTTGAATTTTTAATCATCTTCTCTTATTGACGCATTTAATTTGTGGTGAAAGAGAAAGATTTTTTTCTTAAAAAAAAAAATCCCTTTTGAATTTACTAACTTATAATGGTGAGCCTGCATTTCCTCCAGGAGAAGCAAGGCCAGGCCGATTTGAACAAATTCCACTTAAAATTCAAGAAACCCATGTGAGATGAAAAGTACCCTCAGAATGGCCACAAACAAAGACCTCATAAAAGGCTAATGCCGTTTGTATAGAATTACAGGAAAGAAAGTGAGAGCTAGAGAGGCCCTCGCAGTTAAAGCCCCCAGCTTTTGTGAGGCTCAGGCAGGATGGAAAAAAAATCTCCCTATTAGCATTCTAGCCGGATGGCCCTTTGTCCAGTGTAATCGGAGTGCGGTGGAAAATGCCAGGCAATTTAGCCTCTTAGGGTGGAAAACGAAGGGGCGAAGGAAAAGGGTTGGGGAAAAATAATCTGATGTTATCAGCTAGTGCTGGCAGAAAGACAAGTCTTGAGATTTTATGGGGTGGGGGTGGCTGAGCTGGGCAATGAACACAAATCCTGGGGGTTGCCCTGAGCGTGCCAGGCAGCGGGGAACGTTCAGCCCACAAGTACTGGACGGTCAGGACTAATGAGCAGTCATCCAGGCTCAGTCAACAGCCCTCTCTGTGGCTTCCCGCCCACCCCTCCCACTGCTCTGGAAACCTCTCTCCCCTCGACCTTTCCTGGCTTTCGCCTAAGAACACGTCACTGGCCACTTCAAAGATTCTGTAACCCATCTCCTCCCCCAGCCACACTGTACCACAGGGTGGGCCCTATGGAGCCATATTTCTGCTATTTGGTATCAAAACTGTCCCCGAGGAGACTTGCTACTTCATTCAGGACTGAGCCAGGAAACCCAGGTTTCTAATGCATTCTCATCAAATGTACATGACCCCCAGGTGAGCAGGAGGATGGGCAGCAGGGCCAAGGCCTGAGCTGCTGCAGTCATGGGGACCACCTCGAGGCAGATGGAGTTCCCATCTAGGCCACACCAAACAGGAGAGCAGGGAGGGATGCTCTGGGTGGATGACTGTCCACCACCCGACTGGTAAGGCTGCTCCGTTTCTGAAATGGGCGTCAAGGCGAAAGCACTCCATGGCCTCCCCTCCCCAGGCAGGGCTGCTGGAGTGCTGAGAGGTGGCAGAGGCCATGGCAAAACCAGGCCCACCAGGACCACAGATAAGGAAGGGAGGAACAGGGCAGGTTGTGGAAGGAGATGTGAGAGTGCCTCTTGTCCTGCTGCTCTGACAGTGAAAACCACGTACACGGACATGTACAGACACACAGACACTCACAAACATACACACACAGACATGCACACACACACACACACACAGCCATAGACACTTACAAGCATGCACACACAGACATGCACAGACACACACACACACAGCCACAAACACAAGCACATACAGACATGCACAGACACACTCACACACAGACACAGCCACAGAAGCTCACCGGCATGCATGCACAGACACACACAGACACATATTGACCCATTCACATACACGGCCACATACACACATAGGCATACTTGCAGACACACAAATACACAGACAGAGAGAAAGAGAGCAGGTGAGCACACACCAAGCCCCGGCCATAACAAAAGGGAGAAAAGGCTCTGATCTCTGCCATTCTTGTTTTTCCATCTGAAAATGAGAAACCTGCTACTGGGACTCACCTGAATCATGGAAAATGGACTCACTTGAGTCCTTAAATCATACTCTCACAGCATATGAAAACTGCCAAGCTTCCTGGAGGTCTGAGGATAAATGGTGTCGCTTACAGGTGTTCAAAAAGCAGAGAAATGACAATTCTTTAATTAATCTGAGTGAAGGAAAAGCACATAGTGCAAACCCAGAGCCAACAGCAGTTTAGAGACGCTCCCTGGATACGCATGGACAAGCCGCGTGCCCTGCAAACACCCGGGAGAAGATCAGTCGCCCCCGTGACCTGCACCTTGCTACCAGAACCCCCAGTGGTCAGCTTGTCCCAACAGGACTTTGTTGCTGAGGAACAGGGTCAAAATATGTATGAAAATACTACAGTGATTATATTCATTTTTTGCCTGAAATTTTAAGTAAGACTTTTTACCCTGTTCTTCAGCAACGACCAGACCGTGTCAAGAGATGCAAAGTCTCACCTGTGAGTGCTCCGCCTAATCTAAAATTACATGTAAGTATTATTACTTCCCTGCTCACAGGAATAATCTGTTATTCTTGGAGATTTTGAAGGCAAGATGGCAAAGGGCCATAAAAGGCACATAACTGTGGGCCTTTACCTGGCTGCTTAAACCAAAACCTGGTTTTCCAGCATTTGAACAAAAAAAGGGAAACTCCGTCTGTGTTAGATTTCCTATACCACAGCCAGCTCCCCAATGAAGAGGTGCTGCCTGATTCTCCCAGCTGCCAATCTTGCCCTCTTCTACAGCATTTTAGTTAAAATAACTTCCTGTGTCTCAACATCTGGCTTGAGCGGTTTGGCTTCAGGCCTGAATCCCACTCAATGGGAAATGCCGTGACCCTCATGCTGGGATTCACGATGTCACCTGCTTGATTGAGGTGTTCATTATGCTTTACAAAATCACATGTATAAGACTATTAGGAAAACAGTTCAGCTGCAAATCACAAGACTAGGGCTACTGGAATTTTTGCTCCCAAATCACTAGATCAGTCAACCACTGCCTTTCCAGGTAAAGGGCTGTGCTCGCCTCGTCCCATTACCGAAGCTGTGATGTGGCTCTTCTGCCCTGTGCACTGCCACCCAAATGTACTCACGTGATTTCTGGCTTCCAGGGCTGCTGTTCCCAAGAGCTCCCTCCTCAGGAAGCCACACCATTCCCCCACCTTCTTAGTAGAGGCAGACTCTCCCTTCTACCACCAGTGTTTCCCAGGACCCCAGTTCTGGCCCAGAGCATGACAGCATCGAGGAAGCCTCATGCAGAGGCTCCTTACAGATCCCAGACTACCAACTTTTCCAGGTCTCCTATGCGTGGGCTGCTTTACTTTCTCTAAGAAGGCACAAGGAAAAATGCTGGTCCTTGGGTCGGTTGACTGAATCCTTTGATGTGACAGGTAGCTAAGCCACTTATCTGGACCCATAAACCTCCTTGGCAGGCCTGATTGGATTGTGGAAATTTCGATGGTGATCACATGTGTTTTCTCCTTAGAGTTGGCATGGCCAAGACAAGAGCCACATGCAACTTCTAAGCAAAACACACACACAGGCTCACACAAACACATAGCATGGTGCACTCCCAACGGAGAGGCAGTCAGGGCATTGGATGGGCAAAGACACTCCTTTCAGGACCCTTCAAAGGTAAATTCAACAGGAAGTGCACATTTACGGAGGAGCAAGTGACTAAAGGCACTCACAGACTTTTCCTTCTCTTGACTTGTGTACCTTTACATCTTTACATGAGGTGGGTTGGGTAAACAAAAGAAAATCTCAAGAAGATTCAGATTCTCTTTCCATGTCCCTGCTGCATTTAATAAGTTCCTCGATTGTAGTGACCACTGTACTGTGGTCAGATCCATCGATATAGCAGAGACTCTGTGCCTCAAAGGCAAGGCAATGTCTTTCCATCCTCAAGAGACCCAGCATCCAGCAGGCACTCAAGAAAGGATGGGTGAACCATTTATTAGTGGGTAAAGCAATGGATGAACTGAAACACAGTCTGTTTTTAGTTGATGTCCCAGTAAGAGTGTTAGGGGGAAGTCAAGGTGTTGGAGGGGTTGCTCTAGATTTCAATGATCCACACCATCTCTAATTTCTTACTAATTAATCAAATAGTGAATGTCTAACAAATGGGGAAGGTACTATGCTGGGCCAAGTAGCCATGTAATGGGTTTCTGAATCTCATAATTCAACATCATCTTCTTCAACTGACACTTGTCTTTCCAGGTCAATTAAGCAGGCAGCCTCATTAGTTCATGGGTAGACAACACGCAGAACAGACAAAGCAGGACCTGAGGGCCAGAGGGTGACAGTATCTAACTCTGCCCCTAAAAGCACAAGGCATTTGGACAATTTGTGCTACACTCTTTCCTTTAAACAGGCAACAGGAAAAACAATAAAAGATATTCCTACTACCGAGTTTATAAAAACACAAACAAAAAAAACCAGCGCCTCTCCACATGGCAGTATTCAAATCCTTATCTTTGGGCTCCTACCCTCTATCTGCTTGGAAACAGCTCCCTGTCTTTGTGGCCGCCACCCTCCCCAGCTAAAAAAAAAAAAGTCTCCCTCCAAATACTATCCAGTAGCTCTTCAAATAAAATGGGATGAATAGAGAGGCCTTGATAACCACCAGTTTTCTCATCTTCAAACTGGAAATCAGAAATAATATCAGTAAAGACATCGACTTATTAGGTACAGTGAGAAGCCTTTGAACTTAAAAGACGGGAGGAAGACAAGCATGCTGCTCGTGGGTTCGTCACACCCTGTTCTATGCAACAAAGCAACCCTCCCTGGGTCGAGAAAAAAAATCTCCATGATGATCTCTTAGAAATATAAATGTATTTATAGATAGATATTTTCCCTCTTACCATGTGTATAAGAGAACAGGACGTTGCTGGGCAGAGGGAAGTTATTGTGTGAAGGCCAAGGTCATAACAAGGTTACCGTTCTCATGAGTCTGGGCTAGGTCTGGGCCCTCCCGCCCCGCTCCCTGTATCAGCCCCACTCCCAGGCTCCAGAGCTAGGCCACTTGATGCCTGGTCAGTCCTTTCTGTGCCTTCCCAAATTTACTCTCAATTTCTGGCTCATCTACTATTCTCATTTGCTATTTCTTAAGTTCTGGGCCACGGGAGCCCAAGGTCTCACTCAGCCCTGCACAAACCCCAGCTCTCAAAGCCGGCGTCGCTCTCACTCATTCCCTGTCTCCGCATCGACACGGAGGAGCCACTGGATATAACGCTGAGGTATTAAAAAAAGAAGGAAGTTCAGAAAAACAAACACAGTACGACAGCATTTGTAGGAAGTTTTTTTTTAAAGGCAAAACTGTACAACGCAGTGTTCTAGATGTGGGAAAACCTAACGAAACTCATGAGGATGAAAAACAGCAAACGGGGTGGGGAGACTTGTGGACAGGGGAGGGGGAGGAGGCGGGGGGCGCGGGAGGGGGAGGAGGCGGGAGGAGGCGGGGGTGGGTGGAGGCGGGAGGGTGGGACTTATTAATGAGGCTTGTTTCCGAGTCCGGGTAGCAGATACACGTGACATCAGAAACATCTCATAATCACGAAAGAAATCGAAGCACGCGTGCTCTCTCGGGAGGGCCCTCCTTCTGCGTGCCAGCCCTTGGGATCTGGACTTCTGGCTCCTGGAAACATTCAAAAGGAAACCGGTGGGCCATGGAACCGCTGACAGGATTGGATGGTAAAACAGTGTCTTAGATCCACCCTCGGTGCCTACAAGGGTAACAGGCCACACCCCCATCTCAGAGATGGCAGCGACCTCATCCAAGGGGCAGGGGAAGCCTCAGAGGAGTGATTTTAGCAGCCTCTCACTTCCTCATTTGCCTGTGAAAATAAAGCTGACCCTAAACTTACCGGCTCTGCACTACCCTCCCGCTGGCTGCTTCATTGTCCTGGGCAAATCTTCAGCCCCAGAGACAGTAGTGTTTATTTTAGAACCAAACCCGCTGGCCAGGACACCATCCACGTGAAACATTTCTTCCTAAGCCTGAAGCTTTGTTGTAACCCTGTTGTCTTCCTCCTTATTGGCTCAGCAGTGAGATGGGCTGGCTTGAACCTCCAGGTCTTGAAACCTGCCCAAGATACCAACAACCACCTGTAATAAGGTGCAGGATCCCGCTCAAGCCCTTCAGAGCATCTGTGGATGTGTTACCTCATATGCCCTCACCAAATCCTATAAATAAGAATATCAAGTAGTATCCCCATTTCCAAGATGGGAAATGGCCCCTTCAAAGGTCAGGTCACCGACACTGTGATGCAGGTGGTGTCTCTAGGAGAGGCGCAGGCTTCTAGATCCCAACTGTCGTGGTTTGTTCTAAAGGCTGCAGCAGCCTGGACCATAAAGACAATTTTAAAGCAGTAAACCTAGCAATACAGCCTGGAAGAGAAAACCAAAACAGAGCCAAAAAAAAAAAAAAAAAAAAAAAAAAAACCCAAAACAAGGCAGGCACTGTAATGAAATGCTCACATTTACTCCAGTGCCCACATCTGCATTCCCAGAGTCTCAGAAATCCAGCAGGATTCCAATGCCATGGAAATATGTATCATTGTTTTTGCCAAACAAACTCCCTTACCTTAAGCAAAGGTCAAGTACACTGTAAAACTCCCAGTGCAAACAACCAGCTGGAGGACTTATCCCAGCCTCTGTAAAGTCTTTGCTAATAATTATCCAGACAGCTTTCCTAATTTTTATTTTTAAATGGGGTTGTGGCTCAGCAATAGTGTAAGGATTAATCGCCTTATCAATTAGCATGAGGAAAGGACTGCAAATACAAAGTAGGTGTGTTCTTCCTGGCTTTCTACCTGCTCAATTAGGCTCAGGTCTTAAATGATTTCCAAAATTGGACTACATCTACTGTGTTTACTTCATTCTAAATATCAAAAAGATATCTAAAAGCTTATCATAAAAAAATTTAGAATTTCCCTTTTTGGTTACCAGCCTAAAAGCTCCTTAGTTTAGGGACTGTGTTCTTATTCAACAAGCCATGCCCAGCTCCTGGTTCACAGAACACACTGAATAATGACAAATAATGGAAAACAGAAGGCGGCTGTGTATAATGAATGCATTTCATTCACTTATTCAGCAAGGAGGATGAGGTAGCACCATGCCAGGGGAGATGCCGAGATGAAGCCACACCACCGGCCTCAAGGGGCTCACAGTCTGATGAAGAGACACGTGCCTATAAGACACAGATGGGGTTCTGTGCTACAGGAATGCAAAGAAAGGGACGAGGCCTGGGGAAGACTTCACCAAAGAAGCAGCATTTGAATCTTCCCTTAAGGGAAAAGGAAGTAGGACTGTCCTGCCATGTGGGTGAGGGGAAGGGAAGAGGCCTGGGAGGAGAGTTTTCAGAGAGGCAACCAGCTCTTGCAAAGGCGGCCAGTGCAGAAGAGGCTAGACAGGTTAGGTTCTCAGTATCAAAGTCCCCAGGATGGAGAGAAATTGGAACCTTTAAACACTGTTGGTAGGGATGCAAAAATGGTGCAGCCATTATGGAAAACAGTATGGCAGTTCCTCAAAAAACTAAAACTAGAACTGCCATATGATCCAGTGATTCTACTTCCAGGTACTTATCCAAAAGAATTGAAATTAGGATCTCAAAGCACTTGACGTGAGCGCTCCCACGTTCACTGCAGTGTTATCCACAACAGCCAAGATATGGAAACAACGCAGAGGTCCACTGATAGGTGAAGGGACACACGAAACACAGTGAAAAATACAATAGAATATGATTCCGCTTAAGAACGAATGAAATTCTGACACGTACGACACGTGGATGAACTTGGAGGAATTATGTTAAGTGAAATAAGCCAGTCACAGAAGGACAAATACTACATGATTCCACTTACATGAGGCATGTAAAAATAGGCAAATTCAGAAAATCAAAGAGTGGGCTGATGGTTGCCGGGGGTAGAGGGAGGGAGACATGGGGAGTTGCTCGTCAACTAGCATCAGCTTTCAGGCAGGCGAGATGAATAAGCTCTGGAACTCTGCTGCACACATTGTGTCTATAGTTCACGATACTGTGCTGTACACTGAAAAAACCTGTTAAGAGGGTGGGTCTCATGTTAGATGTTCTTACCACAAATAAAATTAAAAAATAAAATAAAAAAGGCCCCAGGAGAGTTTCTGTTTCATCAACCCAAGGAAAACACCGGAAGGAGTCACAGCTCCAGTGAGGAAGAAGTGAGAAGGGATCTGCCATCGGGGGCTGGAGGGATGGTGGGAACCTTTGCCATTTCAAAGGGAAGCCCTGGCTCCCCTCGGGCACAGCATCCTGGGTGGGGTCTGCACCCCGAGCTGCCACCCATTGCATTTCCATGTCAGCGCCATGTCAGGTGCGCTGTGCCGATGTCTAATCAAGTCTCAGTCATTCAGGATGAAGAGAGAATAGGGAATTCAAAATACATAACTGCAAAAATGAAAGCTCCTTTATTAATTTAGTGCAATACAGAGACGTCCCAGAACAACACGGGCTGCATCCAGAATCACAGATCATTTCAACTAAGAAAAAGATGGGCACCGAGAAGGAGAGCGAGGAACATGCCAGCTGAGACTCATTTCATTCTAGGACAGTACTAGAATGAGCATCTCACTGGGAATTCACCGC
This sequence comes from Homo sapiens, assembly GCF_000001405.40. Taxonomy (NCBI): domain Eukaryota; kingdom Metazoa; phylum Chordata; class Mammalia; order Primates; family Hominidae; genus Homo; species Homo sapiens. The sequence continues at coordinate 3,359,264 of NC_000006.12, forward strand.
CCTCAGGCAGATAACAGATGCTGCTAAGCTATGCTAGCTGGTGTTGCCACGTTTATTCTTCATCACTGAGTGGTTCTCCTTAGGTCACACATATAACTATCCATCTGAGTGCAAGTTTAAAACAAAACAAAAACTGAAGAGGACATACAGATGGCCAAGAAGCACATGGAAAGATGCTCAACGTCACTGTCATCGGGGAAATGTACATCACAGCGACAATGTGGTAGCCCTTCACATCCATCAGGATGGTAGCTGCTGTCAAACAAACAGGAAATAACAAGTGCTGACAAGAATGTGGGGAAACTGGAACCCTGGTGCACCAGTACATTCCTGGTGGGAATGTACAACGGTGCAGCCAACTGGAGAAAACAATATCCCTGTTCTTCATAGAATTAAACAGAGGATTACCATCTGACTCAGCAATGCCACTTTTGGGTATAACCCCCCAAAAGTGAAAGCAAGGACCTGAAATGATATTTGCACACCTATGTTCACGGCAGCATATTCACAACAGCCAAAAGGTGGGAGCAACGCAGGTGTCCATCAACAGATGAATGGATAAGAAAATGTGATCCATCCAGAGGATGAAATATAACTCAGCCTTAAAAAGGGAGGCCATATCCAACATATGCTATAGTATAAAGGAAGCATTTTTTCTTTTTTTCTTATTTTCACTTATTTTTGTCCTTAGAGGTCCTTGTTCTGAGGGAATCCTGAAGACATTATGCTAAGTGAAGTAAGCCAGTCACAAAAGGACAAATATTGCATGATCCACTTAAATAGGTTCTTAGGTAGGCAAATTCATAGAAACAGAAAGTAGAAGGGTGGCTGCTCGGGACTAAGGGATGGGAATGGGGAGTGTTTATTGGGGACAGAGTTTGTTTGGGAAGATGAAAAGACCTCTAGAGATGAAGGGTGGTGATGGCTGTGTAAAAATGTGAATTACTTAATGCCACTGAATGGTACAATTAAAAGTAGTTAAAATGGTAATTTTTATGCTATGTTTATTTTACCATGATAAAACAAACACCCCCCTCCAAATAAAACAACAACAAAAAAGGCAAGTCCGTAGTATTGGCCTTTGAGAGCTCTGACCTCAGCTGTGCCCCGCCCACCCATCCACCCAAGGATCCTTAAACTCAGGAGGATCAGAAAGGCTCAATCACCAGGAGGTGAGGTGAGTCACAGAGCTCACTGCATTGCCATTCTTGGGGGCATTTGTCTCATCTGCCTTAAAATACAGAACTGCATTCTCATAGTCGGGTTTCAGGCAACGGCTCAACCGTGGAGGGAGGTCACTTTGGGGCCTTTGCACACATCCGAGTCAACCTCAACAGTCTTAGTCCACACATCTCTGTATTTCCGGTCACTTATTGCTATGCTGACTGCTCATCTAAGCCCCAGATACTGTCCCAGTTATTTAGGAGACAAAGAGGCCCTCAAGCTGGCCTGAGCCCCCAAGGGGTCCTCAGTGATGTCGACACGACAGGTGTGCAGGCACCCCCATGCAGACGGGCCCCTCTGATGGAGACCTGCGTTCGGCCAGGCAGGCCCACAGCTGGCGTGGTCATCCAGGGCGGGAACGGGATTGGACGAAGCCTTCCCTCGGGCAAAGATGCTGGGGTGGGGAACAGGTGCAGCAGGAACAGAAGGTCAGAGCGTGGTACTGGGGTGACGAGAGGCGCTAGCGAACATCAGCAGCTGCGGGGAGCTCGAGGCAGCAGGGATGTCCAGGCCACAGAAGGTGTCCCACATTTTATATTCCTGTTGTTTGTATATTTTCTATTTCTACCCACCCCCCCCATTTTATGCCTGACCCCAAGTTAAACTGCTTAAGGACTTAAGACCCCAACCAGCTGTGACTTAGATCAGGGTTTCTCCCCCAAAGGAGCCTGCAGCAGTGTCACACAGAACACACCCCCTCAACTGTCTTTCTACTGAAAAAAAAGAGAGGGAAACGTGCTTCAATAAGAGGGACACAGGGACCCCCAAGCCCTGCCCTTTAGAGAAGCTTAAAGACTCCTACATCATTCTTTTTTTTTTTTTTTTTAAGGAATTGGGTCCCTTCCATCTGTGGCCATGACCGTTCATCCCACAGCCTGTCCTCCTCTCTTGAGAGCTGTCCTGGCTCAGGCTGTGGCTGGATTCTCAAGCAGCATCATGTGGCCAGGTTAGGAGCAGGATGTCACAGAGAGAGGGGTCCAAAGTTCAGCTGCTGGGAAAGGCCACAAAGACTGGGGTCCCAGGAGAACGGCGACCTGCCTATCAGTTCTATCTCTAAAACTCTGGGGTTCGACTCTCCAGACTTAGCTTCTGTTCCCAGCTTTACAGAGGACAAGGGGCTGGGCCCATGAGTCTCTCTGCATCAGCAACACCTCACTCTCAGTTGAATTCAGACTCGAAAGCCCAGTCTCAACACAGCAAGCCCCATGGGATCCAAGAAATACTGCTCCATGCGTCTGTTACCCAGTTGTCTTTTTGCTGAATCACATTGTGGGGGCAAGAAGAAACATGAGGCCATCTCAACAGATCGCAAAGGCCTCCACGGCTGGGACACCTGTCAAGCGGGAAACACGTGCCGGTTCTCACGCTACGACCTAGGGAGATGAAGACATGGTCCCTACCCCGAGGGATTTACAATCAGGCATGGAAAATACTCCAAATCCAACACCACACTGCCACATGCTGATGGTCATGCCAGAGTGCACACAAGGACTGTAGAAACATGGAGGAAACCTATCAGATCATTCTATACACCTTCCCTTCAGATTCATGTGCTTGTCAGCAAATTAAAGGCTCTGTGAGGTCCTCTAGGGAAAAATAAATTTTTTTTTTAAGCAAACTTTAAAAAAATTAGCGGCCAGGTGTGGTGGCTCACGCCTGTAATCCTAGGACTTTGAGAGGCCGAGGTGGGTGGATTGCCTGAGCTCAGGAGTTCGAGACCAGCCTGGGCAACATGGTGAAACCCCGTCTCTACTAAAATACAAAAAATTAGCTGGGCGTGGTAGCATGCGCCTGTAGTCCCAGCTACTCGGGAGCTGAGGCTGGAGAATCGCTTGAATCCGGGAGGCAGAAGTTGCAGTGAGCCGAGATCACACCACTGCACTCCAGGCTGGGCGACAGAGCGAGATTCCGTCTCACAAAAAAAAAAAATAAAATAAAAAATAAAAAATAAAAATTAGCATGCATTTTCATCAGGGATTGAAACACCCACCAAGGATACTGTTTCCTGAACCAAACAGTTGTTAACCAGGCAAAGGCCATGACCTTTCTGAGATCTCTTCATGGCCCTGGGCTCCATGGGATTGAGATTAATGAGCACAGCAAAGCCCCCCATCCCATCTCCTTAGCAAGGTAACAAAGGAATGGAACTCTGGGGCCAGGCAGAACCCCCAAGATGCCATCTACAAATCTGGCCTCTCCGTCTCTCCACTACACAGAGTGAGGATGGGAGAACCAGAGCCCAGCTCTCTCCATGGAGAAAGGCTGCAGGTCCCAGAAGCAGGTAGACCTCCAGGACCCAGGAGAGGAAGCATGAATGAAATGCAGACATTAAGGACCATCGAATAAAGATTTTGAGGGCAAGGGGAATGGGGTGGTGGGACAGGGGAATGTCCTGTGCCAGCTTTTGCCATGACCACCTCTTTGTTTCCATGTGCGCGTGAATGAAATATTAAATAGGCTTGGCCAATTAACAACCTTTAAACTCTGGACTGCTCAGAGCCCAAGGAAGAGAGTTTTGATCTGCATTCCCACTTGACCTGCTCAGCACTCGGTGGGACATCCCGCAGCCCACTGCCTGCAACTTCTGATGAGCATCAGAAATGGGCTCTCCGCTCAGCTGGGACATGAGGCATAGCACACTCAGGCAGGGGCATGTTTTTTGTGACTTATATCTTTGCCATTTTAAATTAACACAAAATACAAAAGCAGTTGGGTCTCCCCTCTACCAAAGTCAGTTTTCTTTTCCTGCAGCCCTGGCTGGCCCATCCTCACCAGGCGCAGCAGCAATGGGTGAGCTCCGGCAGCACAGCACATGTGTCACAGCAGGATTGAATGGTCAGCAATTGTCTGTAGGGCTCTGTCCCAGGGGCCAGGCCACCGCCAGAACAGGACCTAAGACAGGGCCCAGGCTTCCTCCTCGGGGGACTGTGACACCCCAGGACACAGGCTGAGGAGAGGCTGTGAGGGAGAAGGGGAGGGGATGGAAAAGAATGAGCAGGAATATGAGTCATGGTTTTGTCCCCGCCCATGGCCTGCTGCTCACCTTGATGTGACAGGCTGCTGCCTGCGGCTGGCCCTGGGCCCAGTGTGGGCACCTGGCAGTCACGCCCAAACTAGGATGTGGCACCTTCAGCACTAAGGTGCCTGCTTGCAATTCTCCAGAGGACAATGCCACCCCAAAAAGGGAAAAGCACAGCGTTCCAGCCTGGTCCTTCCTGGCTTCAACCGCTGCCACGTTCTGGAGAGAAAAAGGGGTATTTTTCTGGGGTGGTGGTGGGAGCTGCCTCCTTGGCCTCTGCTCAGCCATCTACTACATGGTTACTCCAGTGCCCCTGCCCCCATCCTGGTCCTCTCTTGGGCACTAGCTCTACATTCCAAAAGGAGACAGGACATGGGGCAGAGCCAGGGACTGGCTGACCCTCACAGGCATGAGTTTCCTCTGGGCATGGCAAAGGCATGAAGGACATTCGGGTGTAGTTGGGTGGGCCCCAAACGGTACTGACTTTATCTGACCTGGCCCATGGGCCCACACAACAGAAGGCTCTGGCATGGTCTGACATTTGTGCATCTCACCCAATAGAGCTTTTGCCTTCCCTCTCTCCTGGGGCACTTTCACGAACCTCTTTGGGATGAGTCAAAGGTAATAGAAAGCTCATTATCTGCACACAAATATGCAATATTGTATTGCTTGGAAATGAACACTAACTGTCCTTATGGTGCCACCAAACACTTGTACGGGGTTTCATGGCTTCTAAAACCTCTCCATGCAGGTGAGTGCATTCGATTTTCACGGCAACTAGGTAAGATGTAATAGGCACAATTCCCATGTTACACTTCAAGGAACCAACATCAGCTCTCTACAGTAAATTACTCAAAGTTACAGAGCTAAGAAGGTCTCAACTGTAGGACCTGAACCTTGGTTTTCTGACTCTAGGACAAAGATTTTTTATATTTGTTCCCTCCTTAAAAAAAAATTCATTCCCTTCTTTAAAAAAAAGTGAGGTCACACCATGTGATGAGGTCACACCTGGCCCAGATGCCCTGCTCACACCATGTGATGAGGTCACACAGGAGGCATCTAAATTCAACACAGAGGTGAGGGAGGGCATTGGGAAGTGATCCTATTGCTGTGTTTCCAGGGTCAGCGAGAGGTCTCACGCGTGCAGGGCACAGCTGGAGGGAGCAGTTCGCTCCCAGCTGAGGCAGCCACACAGGAGCAGGAGGCACCTGACAGGAGAAGCGCAGCATGGAGAGTGGCAGGAGATGAGCTACTGTTGTCCACCATCCGGGACGTGCAGGTTAAGACTTGGAATCTGGCCTGGGGACAGTCAGAGCAGCTGAGTGGACATGAAGCTGAAGAGTGAGGCATAGGTTTGGGTTTGGAAAGCTCACTCTGGCGGTGTGGTGGAGAGGGGGTAGGGGGACGGCAAAAAAGTGCAGAGGTCCCTGGAATGATCTGAGCCCCAGGGAGCCAAGGGGACATTAAAGGGCCGAGGGAATGAGGCACAGGTGTCTGCTGTATAGTTTATTAACCAATAAACTGCCCTATGGCTGGGCGCAGTGGCTCACGCCTGTAATCCCAACACTTTGGGAGGCCAAGGCAGGCAGATTACCTGAGGTCAGGAGTTGGAGATCAATCTGGTCAACATGGTGAAACCCCGTCTCTACTAAAAATACAAAAAAATTTAGCTGGGCATGGTGGCACGCACCTGTAGTCCCAGCTACCAGGGAGGCTGAGACAGGAGAATCACTTGAACCCGGGAGGTGGAGGTTGCAGTGAGCCAAGATCACGCCACTGCACTCCAGCCTGGGTGACAGAGCGAGATCCTGTCTCGAAAAAACAAACAAACAAACAAAATAAACCGCCCTAGCTCCAGACGGACATGACCTCTGTTCTTTGTTTAATTTGGGGAAACACAGGAGTAGACTACAGTGAAGCTGCTTTGACACAGAACAGAATTTCCTAAAATACTGGCTTGTAGATGCGGTTCAGGCAGGCACTTGGTCTGGCTGAGCCTGAGTGAGTGAGTGCTACCATTTAGGTGCTGGAGATGGAGCAGTGGGCGGACCTGATGCCCTTGCGTAGCACAGTCTCTATTTCATAGTGTTTCTGGCAAAGAGCTAACACTAAAGAAAGCAAATTAGACCTATAACTCTGGAAATGATCCTCTTGGATTTTCCAGGAGAATCCTACTAAAAAATATTTTTTTCTGTTGTTCCTATAGACAAGGGCTGAACCATATGTTCAGTCTTTTCTCCTAAAAATTTTAAAACATTTAAAAAACAGTCATCATGCCCTTAATGCATGCATCCTTAACCTTAAGTCTACTGGAAACAGCAGCAGCAGAAGGAAAAAGGAAAGCAGAAAACTTTATCTTCTGGCCGACATACTTTGCTAACCAAAGACTTGTTAGTTTCTTGTCTGTTCTTCACTTAATTTCTCTCTGGCTCCTTTAATTTGCCACAGTGATGATGCTGCATCGGAGTGTGCATGTCATCATGCACCAGCAGAAGACACAGTGGAAGGTCCATGGGTGTCAGCATCAGAAAGAGAAGGGTATGGCTGGGCGCGGTGGCTCACGCCTGTAATCCCAGCACTTTGGGAGGCCAAGGCAGGTGGATTACAAGGTCAGGAGATCGAGACCACCCTGGCTAACATGGTGAAACCCTGTCTCTACTAAAAATACAAAAAAAATTTAGCTGGGCATGGTGGCATGCACCTGTAGTCCCAGCTACTAGGAAGGCTGAGGCAGGAGAATTGCTTGAACCCGGGAGGTGGAAGTTGCAGTGAGCCGAGATCACACCACTGCACTCCAGCCTGGGTGACAGAGCAAGACTCTGTCTCAAAAAAAAAAAAAAAAAAAAAAAAAGAAAGAAAGAAAGAAAGAGAAGGGTATGAGGTATGATGTCACTACGTTAGGGCTGTGTAGTCTTGGTCCACCTTGTGAGCCATGGTATTCTCCTCTGTTAAATGGTGTTAATTATTTAACTCGCTGTGTTGTGGGGAGATGGGTTAATACAAGCTCAGTCCCTAGCACAGTTCCTGACTCAACAAATCACTTCTTCCTTTATTAGTATTATTACTACCAGTAGTATATGCAAACTAACTTTTCCTGAGTTATTGCTATTCAAGCTATCTCATGTGGACAATACTTCTATGCGATCTATGTAATTGCTGAAGTTCACAAAACTTCACAGACCACTCTCATAAGCTAAACATCAGTCCAAAATATCAGCCTCAGAGAGCGACTTAAAGCACAGAGCTTAATAATTCACCTCCCGACCTCATCCCCAGCAGAAGCCACCATGAACCTTGGACAGGCAGGATCCTAGCAATGGTGGGTAAGACCTAGTTCAAGCAAGTGACCTCTGTCTCCTACCCCATCCTCCACTCAAAATGAAAACTTAGTTGATATTTGTCAGTGTTACTCAACTCCCCTGGCAGAAATCATTTTCCTCCAGAAGGAAGGACAGGGGGGATTAACACCAGGTCTTAGGCAGTGAGCAGATGAACAAGAACTTACTTATATGCAAACATGGCAATCAATCATTGCAAGCACCCCACCAACTCCTGACGAGATGCCTTCTGTCTCCACTAAACATCTGCTAGCAAACCTTTAGAGGGAAGTGTGTGTGTATTTTAAAGGAAATGCGAAATGCTCTTTTCCCTGGAGCTTTCTGCTTCCCTGAGGTTATAACTGCATTAGTGGCAAGAGCATCAGTCTCATGGCCCAGAGAAGGTCAAAGTACATTTCCAAAACAGTCCAGAAATCAAATTTTTGAGGCAGGATAAAGGGTCAGTCTGGTTCAGTTAGTTGGGTATTCAAAGCCTATTCTTTGGCCATCATTGAAAACATCTCTGTCTTTTTGCTTGTGATTAACTGTGTAATGGGAAATGTCTATTCCAATATGCCATCATCTTGGGCGTTAGCAAGCTGGCTGTGACGGCACCTACAGGGTTGTTCTCCCATTGCCTTAGGAACAGGCTTCTGCAGTACCTGTATCTCATTCCTTGGCAGCCTGGTCGTGACTGAGATGCATCTGGGTCTCAGAGAGTGCATAGCAGGGGCCAGGCAGCTACTCTATGACTTTACAGTCCGGAGAGGAAAACACTCATGTTCCCATCACAGATGAGGAGCCTGAGGGACGTAAGTTAGGTTGCCCAAAGTCACACAGCTCATAGTGGTGGTAGAAGGGCTTACAGTGAATTCTAGGTGAGGTTTTCCAGTGGCTTCTATGTGGAAGAACTCCTAACTATTTGTTAGCACTTAAAGACTAGTCACATGAAATAAAAGAGGAACCAGCCTCCATCAATGCACCCAGTGACCCCAACTGGGACTCAAATCAGTAATAACATTTCCTTCTGCTTAGTACAGGGAAAAACCCCGACACTGGACTCTGTGCTTTTCTCACTGGGTCAAGTCTCATTTTCCTGAACACTGAGTCCTCTCTGCTGTCTCAGCCTCATTCAGAAATGTCCATCTCTCTGCGTCTTCACCAGCGGACCGAGAGACCCAGCACCCATCACTGGACTTGAGCAAGGTCAAGGTGACTGAAGGCAGAGAGCAAAGGAGGGTGGCCTTGGGCTGGGAAGTCACAACCACTCACTTCCCACCCTTTTGGACAAATGCTGCTTTCTGGAAACAGAAGGTTTATTTGAATCCTTGGTCCTACATGACAAAGGGCTTGATGGCATCTGCATCTTGGGGATACGTTCCCCTCTCCAGCCCCTCACACCCTGCTCTTCCACATGGTCCCAGTGCTGGCAAGGATGTAGGCCAGGCTTCCCCGCGAGGCCCTTGCACCCCATGCTCAACCCGAGCTGCTCCTTGGCCATGTAATTTTCAACCTGGGATCCATGAATGTGTTCAGGGATACGGGAGGCCTCTGTAACTTTATGTGAAACTCTATGCATGTGTGCATGTGTGTGTAAGAGATATGCGCTTTTCCAGGGGAAGGACCCGTAGCTGCCATCAAATTCTGGAAGGGGGTCTCTGACCCAAAAATATTCATAAGATTCAGAAGTACTGCCTTAGAAGGGGCTTTCGCTTCTGTCAAATTGGCCACATTTCAACATAAAGTGGGTCAGAGTGATGAAAAACTGAAAAAGTTAAGGATGGGCAATTTAATTTGTAAGATTTCAGGGAAATTAAAACAAATCCTCCAATGCAATAAGTTATGCACACACACACACAAATCCAATAGAATGGGGAATCATTAGCTGTGAAAGGGATGGGGGTGGGCAAGAACAGTATGAGTGAGGAAAGACAGCCAAGATTAGTAGAGATGCCAAACAGGAGAGGAAGTCCAATCAGGCCAGGCAGCGGCGTCCTCTTTCCAAGATGTGAGTTGCCAGGAAGGTGGGTTCGTTATGCAGCTTGTTTAGGCTGTGCACCAGTTCCTATTTTTACTTAAACCTATAAAAATGACTATATGGCAAGGAAGAACCCGCTGACACACCAGAATTGCTCAGAGTGATGAGCTAATTAAAATTCAATGGTCTTTCCCAGAGATGGCTCTATTTTTAACCTAATTCTGACTGTCACTATTGTGTGAGGTTTACTTTTTTTTTTTTTATGAAAATACTTTTTCCCTTCTTAATATTCTCATGAATAATTTAGCCCAGCTGATAATTCCTCTAGTCTTCTTCTAGCATTTCGTCTAAAGATGTGGTGACATTCCTGGGCAGAAGGGAACTGGTAAAAACCATGTGAATTCTTGTCCCCTGCTCGCCCAGTTAAATCTAAAGGGTTAAAAAAAATGGTGGCACAAAAAGGACTACAGCCTGAGCATTCTAAAGGTCACTCTAAAGGTCACCATCACCTCCTTATAATTTTTCTCCAACCCTTCAAGGTAGTAGTATCCACATCCACAAATGTTTTCTAAAAGTCCATGGATAACTGATTAGAAGTAATGGAATAGGCCGGGCACGGTGGCTCACACCTGTAATCCCAGCACTTCGGGAGGCCAAGGCGGGTGGATCACCTGAACTGAAGAGTTCGAGACCAGCCTGGCCAACATGGTGAAACCCCATCTCTACTAAAAATACAAAAATTAGCCGGGCGTGGTGGCGTGCACCTGTAATCCCAGCTACTTAGGAGGCTGAGGCAGGAGAATGGCTTCAATCTGGGAGGTGGAGGTTGCAGTGAGCCAAGATTGTGCCACTGCATGCCAGCCTGGGTGACAGAGTGAGACTCCATCTCAAAAAAAAAAAAAGTAATGGAATAAACAAATGTTTAGGTTCTTATTTATAGGGACCCTGGACTAGTCCATACAAGCATTTTAACCCAAAAACTGTTGAAATGCTTCATGCTTAGAATGTGTGTGCACACGCACATGTAAACATGGCTTCAGTTTTAGAAATGGTTTTCAATGAATCTCAAGCACGACTATTTTTTCTTGTGAAAATTTCCCTTACATTTAGGTATATCTCCACATTCAAGAGAAAAAATAATAAACAAAAACTCAGTATGCTGTAACCACAATTAAGATTTGTTGAGCATCACCCTTCTCTTTTTGGAGGAAGCGGCAAATTATAAGAAAATAGATCCAATTTTATCAGGATGACTATAAGAAAATCGGCTACAATAGACTTTGCTGAATTTCACTTTTTGGAATATACATTTCCATTAAAAAATTCCTGGTTGGGAATTTTTTTTCCCTAAATTTATTTTTTCCTTGGATTTTCTTTCAAAAAACAAAAAGAGGTTAGCCATACGTAGGAAGGCAAAAACCCTTTTAAGAATTATGCTTCTGTGGGAAATGACTGAAAGGGAAATTATTTAACAGTACAACTAAAATGCTTAAAACAAGCTTCAGAGAGCCTTGACTGTGGGTCTTTGAGGAATTGCGAGGCTCACCGGGGCAGTGGGGGTGCATGTGCCTTCCAACGGCAGGTGGCCCATGCCTGGCTCTCACTTTGTACGAAGCTTTCTCTGCACAGGTGTCGAAAGCAAGGCTCACTCGCACTGGAGACGAAGCCTCCAGGTGTGCTGCAACCTTGCAACCACAGATACACACACAGCCCTTGAGGCGGTGGCCAGGTGGCCTGCGGGGCAGCTCATGCCCAGCCCCTTCAGCATGCAGTGGTGGGAGCTCCTGGCTCCCCTCAGTGCCTCTCACCTGACTCAGGTCTGTGTGCCCAAGGCCAGCTCAAACTCCAAGTTGAGCAAGTCCTCACGATGACCTTCAGTGTGCCTACACCTGCTTCCCTTGCAAACATTTAATGCAGAGAAAACGTCAATTGTGGTTTGGCTTCAATAACTTGATTGATCTCTTAAAACCAATAGGACTTTCAAAGCCAGGACATCACGACTCACTTCTCTGCAGACCTGCAGCAGGGACTATTAAGTGTTCAATTTCCTGAAAACAGCTCCTACCTGAGATTTATTTACCACTCAGCTGCTCCCAGCAACGTGGCCTTGTTCTTTAGAATCACTTTATTTTACTTAATCTCCAAGAGATACCACAACACGAAAATGAACTTACTTGAAAAAGAGTCTTGGAGAGCCTCTGCACCTCACTTTCCTCTCCTCGAGCTGACGAGGATGTTATTTTGATGTTTATCTGGTGCCATGGTAACTTTCATGACTTGAGATTTACTTTTCAGACTTAGAGTGATTATGGAAAGTCATTTTAGCAAATAATTATTGAGTGCCTACCAAGTGTGGAAGATAAGATAAATAAGACGTTGCTTTCCTCAAATGGGCACAAGTCAGAGTGCCAAGGGCTAGGCTAGAAATCTGCAAACTTTTCCAGAAAGAAAGCCAAATGGCAAATATTTTAGGTGCTGCAGGCCACATGGCATCTGCTGCTAGAGAACAAAAGTCACCATAGAAAATATAAGTGAAGGGTTGCCAGGGCTGTGATCTAATAAAACTTTATTTGTGGACATTGAAATGGAAATTTCCTAAATTTTCATGTGTCACAAAACATTGAGCTTTTGATTTTTTTTCTCAACTGTTTAAAAATGTAAAAACCATTCATAGCTTGCAGGCGGCTATGAAAACAGGCAGCTGGCTTTGGCCAGTAGGCGGGGGCTTAGACTCCTGGATGGACCCTCAGGCCTGCCCCTTACCAGCTCTATGGGTGGAGGGGAATTGCCTGAACTTCCTGAACCTCAGTTTTCTCATTTGTAAAATGGGGATAAAAATCTTTGTCTTGTGGGTTCTAAGAATTAGATACTGAAACACAGAAAACACCAAATGAATGTTAGCTAATCTCCTTCCTTGATGATGATAACCACATTGATAAAGCAGTAACAACTAACCCTCCTGAACATTTATTTCCTGCCAGGCACTGTGTTAAGTGCTACCTACTTTTTACAGTATATTATCTAACCTAAGATGCCATCGATTTTAAGATGCACCATTATTGAATGTACCACCAAGAAAGAAAAAGCTGCGAGTTAACCTCTGACACAGCATCGATTGTAAGATCCTGATTCACAAATGCTCAAGAGTATGTGTGTTTTGGAGGATGCATCTTAGAATCAATACAATATGGTATCTTCTTTAATCCCACGACCATCCCAGGAGGTATGTACTCTCATCATCCCTAATTTACAGATGAGGAAACTGAGGAACAGTTCCTAGCCCATGCTTAAACAGCTAGAAGCATCCGTGCTGAGGCCATGAACCTGGGCAACCTAGTCCAGGATCTGAGCTCTGCCTCGAGGGCACAGACTCCTGTGATGAGGCTGGACCACTTGGGACTCTGAATATGCAAGGGAAGGGCAAGGAAGTCTGAAGCAGGGTAAACACCATCGGGCCAGTAAATCTTGTCCATCTAGTGTTTCAAAGTAGGGTATGAATGCAGTAACAGGTAACAGGGATTTGAAAATGTGGAATAAAAGTGGCAAGATGCACGAAGGTCTAAGCCTGCAGGCTCCTCCTGCTGGCTGTGCTGGGAAGGGGGGATGGGCGTGGCTGCTGACAGCACGTAAGGTGGACAGAGCAGGGCATGAGGAGAAGTCCAGGGAGATCTTTCTTACACTTGAGCTTTACTGTCTTGTGTGGAAGGAACACATGTGGGCTGTGGAGTTCAGGGGCCAGACACCAGCCTGGAGCTCTGTCGTGTACTGGTGGCGTGGCCTGAGGAAACCGTGGCTTCCCCCCATGTCTCATGCACAGGGCCCTCAGCATGGACTGCAGCCTCCCAGCTCAGCTGGGAGCAGCAGGTGAGACCATGAGCATCCCAGGGAGCTGGAGCACAGCCGGGGCGTTAGATATGGAGCCTCAGGGTGCGCAAGTCCTAGGACAATCTAGGCCAACATTCTCTTCCAAATTCTGACTTGTTTTTATTTCACAATGTCGATCTCAAATCTCTTTCTCTTCATTATATTTCATCGCCAAACATTTATGAAATACTTAAAATACACTAAGTGAGAGTCAGGATTCTTCCGTAAAACTCCAATTAGCCAAAAGCTTGCCCAGTCCGTGCCTTCAGCCTATGTTATCATGCAGGAAAGAATTAACCCATGAGTTCTGAGGCTGCTCTGCTTAGGAAGGCCTGCCTGCGAGGCTGGTTCTTGGCTGGCATCTGGGAAGTTGGATTCCGAAGGGTTAACACTGTCCCCTAACTGATCTTCCCTAAGATGTCTCACAAACAATGTGGATTGTGCCAAGCAAGTGCTTTCCTTCTGGGAGTCTGGGATGTTGGCATGCACCAGGCAGCCTGTGCCTGTGTGACCAGTCCCACAAAACCCCCCGGGCACTAAGTCTCTAGTGCGATTCCCTGGTAGACAACCCTGGACATGTGTTGTCACAATCCCATGTGGGGGAAGTCAGCACATCCTGTGTGACTCCGCTGGGAGAAGACTCTTAGAAGCTTGTGTCTGGTTTCCTCTGGACTTTGCCCCATCTGCTTTTCCCCTTTGCTGATTTTGCTCTGTGTCCTTTTGCTGTAATAAATCATAGCCACATGTACAACTATATGCTGAGTGCTGTGGTTCCCAGTTATTCAGCCAACCTGGGGGTGGTCTTGGGGACCCCTGACACAGCCATCCTCAGCCAATTCATTTTAGAATACTGTTCTTCTGGAGCAGTGCTTTGTGAGGCATAGGAAGGCCTGGGGGAGAGGTGGAGGGCTCTGACTATACCCACCCTAAATCAAAAGAAGAAGCTGGGAAGAAAAAGAGAAGAAGAAGAAAAAAAAGAAAGAAGAAGAAGAAAGGAAGAAGAAAAGGAAGAGGAGGAGGAGGAAGAAGAGGAGGAAGCAGCAGCAACAGCAGGTCACCTATTGTTCCATTCAGTGTTGACCAGGCACCAATTACACACTCAGGGGACAGTGACACTGTGATCGCTGCCCTTCAGAAACTTACGGTCCAGTAAAGGAGGCAGCAATGGAGATGATGATGATGGCAGTAACAGTGAACAGTGGACACTCATCTGGTGCCCACTACGTGCCAGGCACTGTCCTAAGCACTTTGACGTTAACTCCAGCAATCCTCACGGCAACCTTGGGAGGCAGGTACTTTTGTTATCTCCATCTTTACAGATGAGGAAGCTGAGCACAAAAAGGTTAAGTATCTGCCCAAGGTCACAAGGCTAGTTATCAGCAACACATCCTCTGATTTCAAAACCTCACTACTTAACCATTATATCATACTACCTCTCTCTGGACATAGAGAGAGGTCTGCACTAGCATAAACACAGGCCCAACTTTACCTACATCTTTTTCTTTTGTTAAATATCATTTATGACATCCTCTCCAGCAGCAGAATGATTTGTGTGCAAGTCAGAATGCCTATGCTGGGCTCTCAGCTATATGTCCAGGCTCAAGCCTGGTATATCTTTGGGTTCCCTCCCTGGCACCATGCACATGGTGAGCGGTCGGACGCCAGCTGGGTGGATGAGAATAACCACTGGGGACTGGGAGGCCTGTGATGACAGGCAGAAGGAAACACATGGAGGATGGATCCTGAAGGTAAATCCTGGAGAGTCAGAAAGGAAAACTAGCAATCTACCTGACAGTAACAACATGAGCAAAGTGCTGGAGCCAGCAATGAGGGCGACAAGTTGAGGAGCCAAAGGAAGGTTGGCTGGAATAAAGGGTGTGCTTTGGAGAAACTGGGCGGGCTGAAACTATGATGACCCTTAAGTAAAAAAAGTGTGAAAGTAATTGGTAGCCAGTGAGAAAGAAAGTGACCATAATGAAAGTGAGGATTTGGGAAGATGAATCTGGGGGCAGAAGAGAGGGATGGCTTAGCTGGGCCGAAGCCCTGAAGCAGAGCAAGGAGCTGACAAGTTGCTGCTGGAATCTCAGCACAATGTCACCCAGCACAGCCAGCCCTGGGGACAGGCCAAACCCAAAACTGGAGGCAGTTTCAGTGCTAGATCTGTCCAAGTAAGACCTCAGAGAACCATCTCTGACATTCTTTCCCACTTTATCCTTTTAGGATTCTAATAGACTCAGGTTAGAATTTGGGTGGTGGCTGTGGTTTTTAAGAACCATTTCTAAAGAGGAAACTGATGGACTCTGGTAGCTCATTAACAGTGGCAGGGGTCTTTGAAGAGTAAACGCAGAAAACTGAATGAACAACGGTGCTGATGATGGGAGTAAGGATGTCTTGGAAGAAAATCCAAACATTCTTTATTTCACACAAAATTATGCACAAAGGAAAACAGTCATCTCAATAGCGATAAGAAGTGAGACTTCAAATGACAACAAGCTACAGGAAGAAAAAAATCAGCAGAAAAAAATGACAAACAAGCCTATGAAAAAAATGAACCAGTTGATAGTTGGTTTATCCACCTCTATTCATCATTTAACATTTTCAGTACTCCCAGATTCAAAGCAAACCACCTCCTGTCAAATTATTGCTTATAAACTCTGTAGAGTCTGATGAATTCTCATGATTATATCTGACAACATTCAGTGTTTTGAAATGGAATGTCAGCTACTGACCCTCAGGAAGCTAATTGCTTTTCAATATATTCAGCACAGTTATGCGTCCAACTAAACCATTCGCTGACTATGGTAGTGGTGCACTACAGTGAGCTTTATTGCCAGAATCAATGTGGGCCAGTGGGCTAGTGCTGAGGCCATCACTGTGGGCAGGGATATGAGTTCTGGGGAGAAACTGCTCAACCTATTTTCAGCAGATGTAATTTACAGCTTTGTGTATAGTCTCTCTCACCACAGAGGGGATTTAAAGCCTCTAATGTGTATATCTGTGTTGAATATATAAGGTGGGTATTAAATATGACAGGATAAGCACTTCTGCAATTGGCCCCCTTCCAGTTAATCATCTTGCTTTGGACACATATACTTGGTCACTACTGGCAAAGACCAATTTCTGGTTTAATGGAGCAGAATGAAAAGATCCAGGTACAAATATCTATCTATCAACTGTCTCTATTCTTATTAAAATATTCCCCTCAGAGGAAAACACACGCCTATTCTGCTTACTTGAAGTTGCCTTTTAAGTAGTTGGTAAATTAGGAATTTTAATAGTAGAAATAAATTCATTTGGTGCCATGTGTATTTCAATTCTATTTCTAGAAGGCATTAGGAAGCCTCTTCCATATTTCATTTTTGAATATTTTATGGCCATATACATTTCTTTGGAAAAACACATTGCTTTTCAGGCAATAAAGATCGTGCAGATTTTATTAAACAATTGTGCCAGTAAGAGCATATCAGTAAATACCAATGCTGGCTTCAGAATAAAAGGTTTATTGTGCAGTCATTGCAGAGCTCTGTCCATTAGCGGGAAACCAGACTGAAGACTGGACACCCAGCTGCCTCCTCCTCCTTCTTCATTTCAACGTCTGATTTGAGCAACGCATCTGCCCATTGCTGTGCCCCAGCCAAAGGAAACCAACTCTATATCACGGAGCAAAGCAAACCTTCCCACTGTCCTCCTCTGAAGTTGACCTTTCTGAGCTGGGTTATAGTCCCTACCGCCCCTCACCTCGCACCTTCCCTCTGCCTGCCCCCACCGACATCCTGTAGCTCCCATTTCAGTAGCTCTGTGCCTCTTTCACCCCAGAATGTGCCTTCTTGTCCTTCTGCCCAACTAAATACCTCCCTCTCGAGTCCTTCCTTCCATAGGGAGACTTTCCTATCTTTCAAAGTTCATGCCGTTCTTTCCCTTCTCCTAAATTTCCAAAGACTTTCAGCCACCCAGCATCAATCCTTACATCATTCGCTTATTTTACAAGCATTTCATTCAGTGTATTTAGGCACAGTTCACTGTATTAGGTCATTTGGACAAAAATGGACAGGACAGACAATTATCTCGTAGACTAGCTGGAGTGAGAAGGCATCCTGTAAGAAAGGCAAAAGTGAAGTAGGTCCTGCAGGGGTTTGGGGAGTGAGGCTGGCCTCCTGGCTGGGAGGGTGGGGGAGATGGGAAGAAGATCTTTCAAGAAAAAGGGCCTTCTGAGTTGGTCCCTGAGAAACAGATAGAATGTGGCTATGCAAATGGTAGATGGAGGAAGAAGGGCATTTCAGATGGAGGAGAGGGTCCACATGAAGGTGTCGGGGGAAGGGCTGGGTGGAGAGCTCCAATTCTGATCTAGTAGCAATATTGTCCTTACTTCCAATCAGGTGAGTCATCTAGAGCAGAGGTTGGCAAACTGCAGCCTGCGGGACAAATTTGGCCCACTGCCTGTTTTTGTAAATAAAGCTTTATTGTAACACCCATTTGTTTACATATCATCTGTGGCTGCCTTATGCTATGGTGACAGGATTAAGTAGTTGTGACAAAAAACATATGGCCTGCAAAGCCCAAAATATTTACCATCTGGGACATTACAGAAAAAGTTTGCTGAGCCCTAGTCTAGTATTATAGCCAGGGAAGGTGTAGGGAGGAAAGGGCTCTTGGCCAAAGAAGGGCATTGCTGCTGATTACTGATGGAATGATGGAATGGAGAGGGTCAACAGAGGGAACACTGGATGGAAAGCAGTGGGATGAATGCTAAGAGAGCCCACCAACTGCCAGACCTCTGCCAGGCCTCCTGGACCCTCTGGCAGGGGAGGCCACCCTGCTGTGCCTGAATGGTGCAGTGACTGGGTGCCACGTGTGTGCTCTCTCCAGTCTGTGGGCAGCATGAAGGCAGAAAGCACCATTATGGCTTTAATGCCTTCCCCTCCCATGCAGCTGCATCCACAGGACCTGAGGAGTAAACTGTGCCCCTCCAAGTCTCGCACTGAACGTGTCTAGGCTGCAGATCAGTGATCTCAGGCTGTACTAAAGAAAGACAATGAGCAGTGGAGAACAGCACTGGGCCAGGCAGAGGCTGTAGGTGGGGAAACGAGTGAGGAGACTATTGACAACATCCCAAGATGGAATGACACTAGCACAGTGGCCCTGGCAGGGAAGTACTTACACCTCATACAGGCAGTCTCAGCTCCTCCAGAGAACAGCCGCTGCAGAGGGGATCGTGCCCCTTCCACTGCCCAGCAGCCACCAAAAGAACAACAGGGCACTTGAGGTATCAGCAGTTCTGCCAGCCTGAGGATGTTGCTGTTTCACAGCTCCTGGGAGCAATTCCTCCAGGGAACAGGACACCCAGGAGTCCCGAGGTGTCTGCTGGGCAGGGCAATGGTTGTTATGGAATCTGTTTACCCGGAAACCACCACGACGCCACATACCTAAGAATACCTAGGGCACTTATGACTGATTCCTACATGCCCGCAACTCCTCTTTAACATTTAATATCACCGATGGCTCCGAACACTTTGTACTTTTTGCTCAGCTGACCTGGAAGCCTTTGGTCGTTTTCCCTCCTAGCTGGGCCCATGTTTGTCAGGTGGGTGCACTGAGAGGTCAGAAGTCAACATGGCCCGAAGTCCATCAGGCATGGGTGGTGAGAACCAGGACCGTTCTCCCAGGAATAGAAGGGTGAAAGCACCTGCAGACCTCGGCCCGTGATTCAGCACTTACTCCTGAAAGACTTGAGGGTATTTTTAAAACTTTTTACAAAGCGACCATTGCTGCTGTTGCTACTGAGGCAACAGGGTAATTGTTTCCTTTGAAAAGCCATCACTTCCTCTCCTATTTTATGTGGTTCTTATCTGTCGACTGTGACTGGCTTTCACTACTTGAAGGGCATTAGACTGGAAGTCTAAGTTCTCACCCTGGCTCAGATACCATCTGTCCAGCCTTAGATATGCCTCTGAACCTCTCTCTGTGTCAGACTTTTTTTTTCTTTTCTTTTTTCTTTTTTTTTTTTTTTTTGAGATGGAGTTTTGCTCTTGTTGCCCAGGCTGGAGTGCAATGGCGTGATCTCGGCTCACTGCAACCTCCGCCTCCAGGGTTCAAGCGATTCTCTTGCCTCAGCCTCCTGAGTAGCTGGGATTACAGGCACCTGCCACCACACCCGGCTAATTTTTTGTATTTTTAGTAGAGATGGGGTTTCACCATGTTGGCCAGGCTGGTCTTGAACTCCTGATCTCAGGTGATCCACCTGCCTCAGCCTCCCAAAGTGCTGGGATTACAGGCTTGAGCCACCGCGCCTGGCCTCAGTGTCAGGTTTTAACATGAAGGAGGAGCTGAATCGTGGCCTGGGCTCTAAGTTGCAGGTCAGGCAAAACCTGTCTTTATGGGAGAGTTGTCTGGGCCTCCCTGCCAGCATGACACTTTTTGCCCTGTTTTCTCCACAGTGTAATTCTGGTGCCCTTAATGAGCTCTCTGGAGATTCTCTCCCATGGCTGGCCTGTCTCTGAGACAAGTTCTAGTCTCTGATGTTGAGTCTAGACCACAGCAACAATTCTAAAATGTCCTTCTCCTCCACCAAGGGGACTTCGGCTTCCCCCAATAAACATGCTCTTTCCTCTTGGCAAAAGTAGTTTAAAAACCTGCTGGATTTGGAGTTCTTTGAGGGAATGGTCTATCTTTTTAATGACTATCTATGAACTCAAAAAACCACCTAATGCTCCCTGATAAAGTTCAGAGTGTGCTTCTCATTGTCCAGAATGAGATGTGTATCTCCTGCTATGGAACGCTGTCACAGAACTATCGAACACCATGCAGCAAATTCAAGGCTTTACACTTGCAGGGCTTAGACAGGGGATTTGGGAGGTGTGCGAGGGTGGGCAGAGAGAAGGATAGACAGCGTTTTCCACGTGGTTTTGGATAGTTTAGCTTAGGTGAAAGAGAAAGGCAAACAAACATTTTGGGGACTGAAATGCTGCCATTTGTTCCTTTCCCCCAATACTAAAATTCTCCCACCAAGACTACCCTCGCTTCATATCACCTTGAACACAAGTTGAAAACCTAAACCTTTGCAGCATGTGCTTACGTAGAAACTTATGCAATTCAAACAGAAGTCATGCAGCTGGGACGGGCTCAGATTGCCTGATGACTACTCAACGAGCTGCCCTCAGCTCCCAGCAGGGGCTTCAAAGGGTTCCTGTGGTTTCATTTATTAGGGATGATAAATATTGTGCACACATTTCCCCAGTATCAGGGATCTTAGAACAGGATCAGTTTAAATCTTTGGAGAGAAAGGAGTGTGGATGCGTGTGTGTGTGTGTGTGTGCACGTGCGTGCATCTGTACACATGCCTGTGGGAGAGATAAAGAGAGGAAATGTGAGAACATAATGAGGGATGAGGGGGCTAGAGGGTGAAGAGTACAGAAATCCCAAACAATCTCTGTTAAAGACATAAATAATAGAATATGAATTCTAAGCCAGAGTAGCGCTTGATATCTGAACAACACTGACTCCATAGGGGTGAGTGGCTTACCCAAACTCAACAAGGTGAGCAGGCTTTAGAAACATTTAGATGAAAGCTTCAAACTGAAATGAATTGGTCTGGGTGAACAGGCATGATAGCCTTGACTATAACCCCTCCACTAACCTATCTTGACATAGTTAAGTAAGATAGTAGTATAAGGCTGAACTATTTCAAACCACAATAATAAGGAATTGGTAAGAAGAATATTCCAGGGAATAACTAATTTGGATGCATCAGCTAATAGTATTTCCATACATCTGAGTGGCCCAACAATGGCCTGACCAATGAATCAAACATTTATTGACATTATCATGAAACTAGGCATTCCGGTAGATTTAAATCAATATGTACAAAGTCCTGTGAAACCGGACTCTATTTTGGAACTTCCTATTTACTCTCTACAAAACTCTATACACCCAAAGTCAACACTAACATCCTTTCATGCTAGTACTAACTCACATTAAGTTATTAAAAAAAAAAATCAAGCTATTAGCAAGGACGGGGAAAACTGCAGTGAGTTTGTGTATCAGCCACAAGCTGTGTTGCACTGAAGTAACAACTTTTTAAAATCTCAGAGGCTGAAAATGCCAACAGCTTATTTCTTATTCACAATACATGCCTATTGAGGGCTGGTGGGTCTCTGCTTGTCATTGTCACGTGGGGATGCAGGCTGACGGAGCAGCTACCATTGTGAATGCTGCTGGCCGGCATCCAGGAGGCCTAGCAGGTCTCTTACAGGTAACTGAATGCTCCAGCCCAGAAGTGACAGGTCACTTCCACTCGCAGCTCATTGGTCAGGACCAGTCACAGGAATCTGCCTAACCTCATGGGCATTTTGAAATCTCTTCAACTTTTTGAAACTGCTTCAGAGATGCCTCGTATGTGAAGGCACTGACACCACGTCCTGGGTGCTTTGTGTCCTTAGGGGAATGGCTGATGTCTCTAGGCCACTTTCTGTGTCTCCTTCATCAGAGCCCGAGAACCATCAAAAGGACTAACTGAAGTCCCTTCCCGTGGCTATCTCTCTGCCAGGCATGGGGACACCACATCTCCCCAGCCTGCTGGGGCCTCTCTGTGGGGAGGTGAGGAAGAGAAGCCTGCCTTAGTGAGGTCCATCTGCCCATTAACCACAGCACTGTAGTACAGTGGGGGCTCAGCCATCTTCAACTTTATACTCTGATCTTTTTGGGGACCTTTCCCTAGGACACCTTTTGTCTATTCTGCCATAGGTTGGGCAGGATCAACTAACTACAGGACAGCAGAATGGGGCTGACTGAGTAGCCTCAGTGGTGAGGCGTTTCAGGACCAGTCCCCAATAAAAATTAACAACAGCCAGGCTTAAAATATCAGCACAGCCACTGTGATAAACCATGTCGCAGAGAAGAGTGGGGACTCTCCAGCCAGACACGCTGTGCTCCCAATCCCAGCTCTACAGCCTTCCAGCCAAGCAAGCCTGGCCCAGCGCCCTGCCTTCTCTCTGCTCCATTTACCATCTGTGCGAGGGGGACAGTAGTGGAATTTATTTCTTACAGGCTTATGGTGAGAATGGAATCAGGAGAAAAGAGCTAGAACAATGCCTGGCAGTGCACAGTAAAGTCCCTAGTTCCTTTTCTTATCAGCATCCTCTTGGCCTCCCTCAGCCACGCTCCTTTCAGACTCATTTGCTGCCACCATGAGCAAGACACACCCCTCACAATGATTTTGTGAGACAGGCATGCACCCTGCTTAAAGAATGAGAAGACTATGAGTGACCCAGATTCCCATCTGTCTGCCCCAGGCCCATGCTCTTTCCCTGCAATGTTCCGCCTCACTTACCCTGATGTCACGATGACAAGGGGGTCCACTTTAACATAAGGGGAATAACTCAGTGGAGGTGGATCCTCCACTTGTACTTAGAGCTCTTCAAGGATGCTGCTCTGCTCTCTCAGTTCAACAAAGATAAGTCAATATTTTCTCCATGAGAATCTATTCTGCATGCTTGACAGAGTGACAGGGTTGAGCCACCAACTCTTAGTCCTCAGTATGCACAGCCAGCCAGGCTCAAGCCTCAGATGCTGGAGATGAATCAGGGAAGAAAGTGTCAGATGAAGGACAGTGAGGTGAATAGCTAAACTCTGTCCCAGCCTAAAATTCAAATCTCATGGTAGTATTTTTAGTTGTGGCTTTGTAACGTAGTTTACAATGCATAACATACTGACCCTTAAGATGCACTTACGCCCTAGTCTGAAAATTGCTACCTTTCTCCCTCAACTTTTATTTTGCCTCAAGGCCTTATGAGGTATCACAAGCTCAGCTTTATCCTTGCCTGTACTATTAATAGACTGGGCGAGTCCCCCTGGGCTCTGTGATCAAAGTTTCCCATCTCTGACCTAGTAGCAACATTGTCCTTCCTTCCAACCAGGTGAGTCATCTACGACAGAGGTTGGCAAACTATAGCCTGTGGGACAAATTTGGCCCACTGCCTGCTTTTGTTAATAAAGCTTTATTGTAACACCCATTTGTTTACATATCATCTATGGCTGCTTTATGTTATGGTGGCAGGATTAAGTAGCTGTGGCAAAAAACATATGGCCTGCAAAGCCTAAAATATTTGCCATCTGGGACATTACAGAAAAAGTTTGTTGAGTCCTAGTCTAGTATTATAGCAAGGGAAGGTGTAGGGAGGAAAGAGCTCTTGCCAAAGAAGGGCATTGCTGCTGATTACTGATGGAATGATGGAATGGTAAACTCACTCATTGTTTACAGACAGACTCTCAGACCAAAGGGTATGCACTTCATTTAACAAACATTTTCTTATGCCAGATCCTAAGACATAACAACGAGCAAGATAAACTCCTTTTGGAGACTAAAATTGTGTGTTAGGGTGAAGATGGGGGTGTAAGGGAAAGAGAAGGAATAGAGAGATGTATAAAAGCAATGACAGCCCAAATGATAGCAGCATATTCAGACAGCAGAGAAACAAACAAATGATAAAGCTATAAAGATCAACACAGGCGGCATCTCAGAAATAATGCTGAGTGAAAGATAACGTATGGAGGAACACACACGGTATGATTTGACTTATTAAAAATGCAAAACTAAATGATGTACTGTTTATGCATACTAACAGATGAGGTAAAATAATAAAGAAAAGGGAACAAATAACACAAAATTCTGGCTGGTTTTTTCTCTGAGGGTGGGGCTGGGGAGGGACACCCAGGGTGCCTGAAAGGCACCAAAGCCGGGTAGTGAGTACATGAACGTGCACGGTGTAGAATCCTTTATAGCTGACATATATCTTATTAGTATTTTTATATCTACTCCGTGGTTAAATAAAACCAAACCATGTTGAACACAGAGTCAGTGTGACGAGCGCTATGATTCTGTGACTAGGACAGTGGAGAGTGCTACAGGCACACGGAGGAGGGGCCTCTGACTCTGATGTGAGGGGTCAGAAGAAAATCCCTAGAAAAAGTGGCGCCAACCTTATCTGAGGACTTTATGAGCAAACTTCACCCTGAGAAAAAGTCACAGGAGAGTGTTCTGGCGAAAGTCCAGTGATGACACAGATTGCAAGGTTTTCAAGGAACTGATACCAGCTCAGCAAAACAGGCAGAGCAAGTGAGGTGGGGGCGGGCGACGGGGCTGAGAGGGCCCCCTGAGGTCCTACTATGCGCCTGACCAGCCACAGAAAGCCTTTATTCTAAAAGCAATGAGAGCCTTTGAAGGATTTATGGTATGGAGTAAAGTGACATGATCAGAGCTGCCTTTTTACAAGATTCTTCTGGCTGTGGCAACATCAGCTTCCTCTGGTACCCTAAAGTCCCTCAGGTTTCTGCTGGGTTGAGACCGGTGCCAGCTCCCGGATGTCCGCAGTAATGATGTACACCCCTATTACTTGAGAAGAACAAAAACGGTGCCAGGCCAAAATTGCATGAGGTGCTTCATTATCATAGCAGATGCTTATAGACTGCTACAAGCAGGAGAAAACATTTTTGTATAAATTGACTTTTAGTACATTGAATTAAATATTCATGCACCTGTAGGGCTGCAATTGTAAAGACATCTCACAGTGAATCTTTGCAAAGTGGTTGCTCCTTCTCTAAAGTAAACAATCTCCTATCATACGTCTGCTTTATAAAAATAGGTTTTAATCTCAGACTCATGTTAAATAAGCATTTCTGTCTAAGAATGTTTCTTAATCCTTTAAAAGTATAGATAAGTAAAAATTACGAATGCTGTAAATACTTTATAAATACTTCTAAATCATATCAGTGGGAAAATCACTTAAAAAACACATTTTCCTGGTGGCAAGAATAAACATGGAGGTAGATAATGATACAAAGAAAATAAATCACGGAACAGAGCTGCCTTTTGGTTTCATCATCACACTACCTAGTTTGAACTTGAACCTTAATTACCAAATAATTACCACATTCTTTTTGCTTGTTATTTCTATTTTTAAAAATGTCAATAAAAACTTTTATTCATTAATGCTTATGGTAAGTTAAGCCAGAACCTCACAGATAGCCTCCAAAGAACACAGTGATTTTAAAAGTCCCCCAAATCATATGATCCAGCATTTCTACTTCTGGGTATAGTCCTTCAAGAACTGAAAGCAGGAACTCAAAAACACACACATGTGTTCACAGCAGCAGTATTCACAATAGCGAGAATGTGGAAGCAACCTAAGTGTGAATGGGTGAACAAAATGTGGCCTATCCATACGATATAATACGATCCCGCCTTAAAAAGGAAGGGGATTCTCATATCTGCTGCAACATGTCTGAACATGGAGGACATTATGCTCAGTGGAATAAGCCAGTCACAGAAAAACAAATGCTGTATGAATCCATTTATATGAGGCACTAGTGTAGTGAAATCCATAGAGACAGAAAGGAGAACGGCGGTTACCAAGGGCTGGGGAGAGGAGGGAGAATGGGAATTTGTTGTTAAATGGGTGCACTTTCAGTTTGGGAAGATGAAAAGAGTTCTGGAGATGGATGGTGGTGAGGGGTGCCCTAGAGGGTGAATGAACTTAATGCCACTGAACCATACACTTAAATGGTTAAGATGGGCTGGGCACGGTGGCTCATGCCTGTAATCCCAGCACTTTGAGAGGCCAAGGTGGGTGGATCACTTGAGGCCAGGAGTTTGAGACCAGCCTGGCCAACACAGCAAAATCCTGTCTCTACTAAAAATACAAAAAAAATTAGCCGGGTGCGGTGGCCCATGGCTATAGTTCCAACTACTTGGGAGTCTGAGGCACAAGAAGTCCTTGAGTCTGGGAGGCAGAGGTTGCAGTGTGCAGAGATGGTGCCACTGCACTCTAGCCTGGGCGACAGAGCAGAACTCTGTCTCAAAAAACAAAAAAAAAGGTTAAGATGGTAAATTTTATGGTATGTGTATTTTACCATGATCAAACAGAAAGTTGTAAAACACAGGTGCCTTAGCTGAACCACACAACTGACAAGTTTACTAAAAATTAGCTTTGTCCCCTACTGTTGGAGCTAATTGTCTGAGTTCCCTTACAAGTCTGGGCTCCTTGGGGAAGTCCTCTGAAGTCACAGCCCATGCTCAGTGCCAGCCACTCCTGACCAGGGCTGCCCACAAACACATGTGCCTGCAACTGGCCCATATGAAAAACAAAAACTCCCTGTCCTCAAAACAAACAACATTCCTCAGAGAGCACTCTGTTACCAGGACAGAGAGACGTATTAGAGCTAGAATACTGCAAAGGGAAATGTGGTCATCTCATTTTTTTTCACAGTTCTTTTCCAAAAAGAACATCCACAGAATAGCCTATTAGGCTGCCAAGATACTGCAACAAACACCCAAGCCCCGCATTTGAGCAGGACGCTGCCAGATGTGACACATCTCACTCTAAATGATGCGGCTCTCAAATTCCCCATTCATGCCCATTCCTGTGGTCACTGATGAGGGGACTTCAATCGGCTTGAAGAACTCACACCTTTCCACACCCCTCCCGGGTGTCTCATTACCTGACGAGGTGGATTTATTAATGATCTGGGTTGACATTAGCTGGGAGCATCACAGGGAAGCCAGTGTGCCCTGACAGTGCACGGTTAGGGGTTTAGAAACCCAAGGCAGGGGAGGTAGGAAGGGGAGGCAGAAAAGGCTGCTCAGGGTGGCGGTGGCCCAAGCTGGAGGGCAGACAAGCCTCAGGCTGGAGAGCGAAGGAGAAGGGAGAGCACGCTTGCTCTGTGTACGCCACACGCACAACCAGCCCTGGGGTCCCTGGATGTGGCACCAGGAGTTGGTGCTTCTCTTTCCTCCTCAAGAAGTTGGCTTCTCTGGAAAGTGGGGGAGGGTCTGAATAAAGCAGCCAACAGGAGGCTCCGGGTTCTGAGGCAGCCTTGTTCTTCCAGACACAGAGGAGGCTGGCACTGCCAGGCTTGGAGGCTGCTTGCTCCTCAGTAGCCGTGCCAAGCGTGGCTGGGGACAGCCCGAGAGCTCAGAACGGCCTTCCAGGGCCAACCCTCTTGCTCTACAGATGAAAAGAGTGAATCCAGGACTGCCGGGGACCTGCCCCAGGGTCACCCAGCGTGGGAGGGGTGGAGGCGGCAGTGGGACTGGGTCTCCCACCCAGGGCACCACTGGAAGGACATCTGGAAAGTCTGCATACTCTGATGCTGACACACGGACCTGGCAGCAACATGGGGAACAAGGACTTGCTTCCACAGGGCCGGCACCCCAGGGCGGGGCAGGCACCCCAGGGTGCAGCAGGCCTTTCTCTGGTTCGTCACTCAGACCACCACTCCAGCCTTTGAAATCAACAACAACCACACACAACTCTTCTCTTCCAACCTCACCCAGATTTTCACCTTTGTTTCTCAGAAAAACCCTACTAACCTTTAAAAAATACACACGTTTAGAAGAGACAGCTTTTTGAGGAGTGAGGAGGTAAACAGCAGTGTACCTAGCCACATGGATTATCTGCCCTTCATAGCTGTGAGTCCCTTTGCTGAAGAAATAAAGTGACTCACTCCTAACAAACTAAGTGGAGAAAGGGAAAACTAGTAACTGCAGAGGAGAAGCCTGGCAGACCCCATCTCAACTGAGGAAGGTTAGCGTGACCAGTGACAGCTCACGCTGACGTCAGAGCTCCTGCCTCGATACGACGCCATGAGCAGGGTGGTGCTCTTCCCCCTAGTCTGATCAAGAGAAAGTATCAGACAGACCCACATCGAGGGGCATTCTGCAAAATACCAACCCGTTACACCACTGTCCTCATCACAGTGTTAAGGTCACAAAAGACAAACCCAAGGAACTGTCACAGATCAGAGGCGACTGTGGAGACACAGCTACATTTAATAGAGTGTTCTGGAACAGAAAAAGGACAGTAGAGAAAACACTGGTGAGATTCAAGGAAAGTCCGTCGTTTAGTTAGTCCCACGACAACGTCCGTTTCTCAGCTCTGGGGACCGTAGCGTGGTTATGTGAGTTCACGTTAGCGGAAGGCGGGTGAGTGAAGGGCTTACAGAAAATCTCTGTACTGCCTTTGCCATTCCTCTGTAAGTCTAAAATTATTTTAACTGTACTGCTTTTGCCACTCCTCTACTTTAAAATGTTTTTAAAATATGGTGAACAAGTAAGTATATGTATATTTCATTCAAAGAGTTAACGAAACCCAAGAGTCGTGGGCTTCTCTGATAAAGTTCTCTGAGGGTGAGTGGCAGGAAAGGAGAAGGCAGGCCGCAGCGAGGATGTCCTGGCAGCCCACGACAGTCTGTGCCACGGCATCTCCTTTCGGTGGAATTCGTGCTGTTCCTGCTGCCTGAAAGAGAAGCCCAACAAGTCCCCTCTGGCAAGTGCAATTTTTCCCACCAGTTATCCTAAAATCAAATTAAAACCGGATGCAGGCTACAACCAAGCACTCAAATCACTGGTGCAGCCCTTGACTTTGTAAAATCAAAATGGCTCACTGGCCTAGATGTAGGGAGAGGGCAAGCCCGCCACAGAAACACAGAAGGGGGTTCATTCAACAAAGAACGAAGGAGACTCATCCAACAAATGTATCCAGTGCTTTGGAACGTGAGACTCAATAGGTCAGGTGAAAGTGCTGGTGTCACAGAGCTCACATACTTCCTCATGGGGGAGGGCAGAAATGCAATAAAATGCAATAAAATGCAATAAACAGAAACAAAATGCAATAAACAAAAACATCAGAGTGGAAAGTGTATGCAGATCACAATGCTACCATCAAACAAAAACAAAAAAGAAAATGACAAGTTTTGGGCGAGGATGTGGAGAAACTGAAACCCTTGTGGCCTGCTGGTGGGAATGTCAGATGGAACAGCCAGCCACCGTGGAAAACTGTGACACTTCCTCGAAAACATAAAAATACAATTACCATATGACCCAGCCATCCCACTTCTGGGTATATGCCTAAAACAAATGAAAGAAGGTACTCAGAAATTGTACAACCAAGTTCATAGCAGCGTTATTCACAACAGCTAAAACATGGAAGCAACTCAAGTCTCCATCAACTGATGAATGGATAAGCAAAATGCGGTCCATCCATACAGATACATGGATACAATGGAACATGATACAGCCTTGAGAAGGAAGAAAATCTTGTCCCGAGCTGCAGTGTGATGAACCTTGAAGACATGATGCTAACTGAAGTAGATCAGTCACAATAGGACAAATACCATCTGATGCTACTTATAAGGTACCTAGCGTTGTCAAATTCAAAGAGACAGACAGCAGAATGGGGGTTCCCAGGGGCTGTGGGGAGGGGGAATGGGGAGTTCGTATTTTTTGCAGACCAGAGTTTCAGTTCTGCAAATGAAAAAGTTCTGTGGTGGCTGCGGGCGTGGTGGCTCACTCCTGTAATCCCAGCACTTTGGGAGGCTGCGGCGGGCAGATCACTCGAGGTCAGGAGCTCGAGACCAGCCTGGCCAACATGGTGAAGCCCCATCTCTACGAAAAATATAAAAATTAGCTGGGTGTGGTGGAGCATGCCTGAGATCCCAGCTACTCAGGAGTCTGAGGCAGGAGAATCACTGCAACCCGGGAGGTGGAGGTTGCAGTGAGCCAAGACTGCACCACTGCACTCTAGCCTGGGCAACAAGAGCAAAACTCTGTCTCAAAAAAAAAAAAAAAAAAAAAAAAAAAGCAACAACAACAAAGTGCTGGGGCTGAATGGCATGACAGAAGCACGATGCGAATACGCTTAACATTATTGAAATGTACACTTAAAAATGGTTAAGATAGTAAATGTTATGGGATATGTTTTCTATCACAATTGAAATTGAAGTCTATGCAGACAATTAGAGTAGGAGACTGTGACCAGAGAAACAAGCTGGTGAGCGCTGAGGAGGCAGTCAGGGAAGGCCTCTCTCAGCAGGGAGGTGGGGCGAGGAACAGAGACAATGTCTCCACAGAGTGCTTGGCATCCTTTCTGTCTACTGCTCTCTTACTGCCCGGCCTCACCACCATTTCAGGCTCACTACAGTCACCCCTCCTCCCACTCCATGAAGCCCTAAACTCCTCAGGGTGGTGGAATCACTCATGGAGATGGCCTAGAGCCTGTGCAGGAGAAAGTACAGGGATGAAGTTATCCTTCCTGACTTACCGAAGGATCAGAATCACCCCTGCAAAGCAGGCATAAGGGGAAAGGGAGCTGGTACGTGCATTTCAGGCTGCTGCCAGCTGCTTGGAATCCACTGCACAGCACCACACCCGTTAGTGGAGAACGGCCTTGCTGGAACCGGTTTCAAAGATTCGCTCTCATTGTTGCCTTTTGGCTAACTTCGCAAAGCTGATGTACCCATCCTCCAAAAATAAGACTCAGCCAGTCAAAGGATGGGCTAAAATACAAAAGTGACATCATCACTTTGCATTTCAAAAAAAGGCCTGGTTTGGGATGAAATGAACAGAGTTCTCCTGGCACGGCATCACTGGGCCAGTTGCCACCATCCGTCCGTGGGCTCATCCGGAACAGCAACCAGCGGTGAGCCACAGTCAGGAAAAGGAATGAGGCTCTCTCCATAACCTCCAGGCCTATGTTAAACTTCACATCCAATGACACCGAGGAGGAAAGGTACCGAAGAAAGAAAGCAGAACTGCCTGGAAATTGAAACACTCAGCCATCTCAGGTAATTGGCCTCAATCACAGAATACTACTCAATTAGATTTTAAAAGATGCCCCTCTGTCAGAATGCAGAGAGATCTAAGTAGATCCTGCATCCCTCTTCTCTGCCCCACTCTCCCTCTCTCCTCCCTCCCCAAAGTCCAATTAAGTCCAAGTGCCAACCTAACATGAGAAGGCTAAGAATTCTGTTCACATCTACCATGACCTTAGTCCACAGGATCTCTCATGAGAAGAAAGCCACACAGTTGGAGTGAACTCTAGTGCTCCCCGGGGCCTAGAGTTCTGAGGTACACTTCGGGTTCACTTGCAGGTTTAAATGTTACCTAAGAATAACCTAATGCAGAGATGTACACACTGGGGCCACTATGGTTCTATTTCACTATGGATCAGTTCAATGCACCAAAAGCTGGCTGCCACTCAGCATCTCTGAGCCTGGTATGTATCAGTGGACCCCAAGTGGGGCTATGGAGTGTACTAAACATCATCACTGAACATTTATATTCTAAACATCAGTCTCAGGCCCTACAGGCTTCAATAATATGCTGCCTATCTGCCAAACCACTGGCTTCCAATGCGGAAGCTGGAGTTCTGCCCAGAAGCCGCACCCAGAGATCTGAGGGAACCATGACACTTACTGTTGATGTTGGCGCCTCTTTTTCCGTGAATTTGGTCAACTGCCTGAATGGAATGAAGAGAATCATACCCTGACTCATTAGAGTGATGAAAAATTTCTCAAACTTACCAAAAATGCCCCTGACAAGAAGATACAAGATCAGCCCTGTCCCTTCTCTCACGGAGCTACAATGAAAATAACAGCAATGACTCGGGGGAATCAACCAGTAATGGTAAGGAAAAGGAAGAGAGTGACTCTAGGTTATCATTCATTATTCACCATTCCCCTTTTGGGCTCATGGAAATGTGATTTGCACACAAATGTCCTCACCAGCTCATGGAGACTTTATTCTTGCTGATATCAATTCATTAATCAATACCTGTAGGATGTGGGTTGAGCAACAGGTTTTGAATCCCACCAACTGTTCGGGCATCCACGCCAAATCCATCTGGGTCATGAGGCTTTGTGAGAAATCTCAGCAAATTCCCTCTACTATTCAAAAACACTTGTGATATATCTCTAATATGTGGGAATTGGACTAAAAAGTCTAGCCCTTCCAGCTTTAACAATTTAGAATCACATATGTATATCTATTCTGCAATACTGCGGCACAGATCTTCATCGTGTTCCATGAATTCATTCATTCATCATGTTCCATGAATTCATTCATTCATCAAACTAGTATTTAGATACCCATTCTGTGCCAGGTGCAAATCCAAGCACTGGAAATGGAGTGGAGAGCAAGAACAATAAGGACCCTGCTTTCAAGGTGTTTCCTCTAGAGTGGATGAGTGGTATGCGGAGATACAAATACACAAATAAATGAAGGTATTTTAAGGTAGGGCAGATGCTTTAAAAAAGGCTGGGTGAGTCTGAAGAAATTGTTTGGGTACTGATTAGACTAGCTAGCCTGAGAAAGTTCCACAGGCATCAACTGAAAAGCGATCATAGTGACAAGACCGGACCAGGCCTGCAGAGGTCTGGAGGGGAGCATTTCAGGCAGAGGGAAAGGTGAGTACAAAGGAACTAAGGAGCAAGCAGGAGCTGAAAGATCCATCTGGCTGGACACAGTGCAAGATCAAAGGGCCAAACCATGCAAGATAGCATGGACTGCAGTAGCATTTGGAATGCACGATGGAAGCTGTTAGAGCGTGTGGCAAAGACCACCAGTCATCCTCCAAGACCATGCTCCCCTTCTTCCTACAGGCTCATAGCTGTACAAAACAAGACCAAGTTCTCCAGCCACCCTTGCAATTGGGTGTGGATAGGTTGCTGAGATCTGGCCAATGGGATGTGAAAAGTGGTACCCATGACTTCTGAGCAGTGACCTGAAGGGGAAGGAGTGTTCCTTCTTCCTCTTTTCCACTGCTCTGCTGGCTGGATTAGGACAGCAGAAGGGGCCTGGGCTCCCAGTGTCATGGGACTGCCACAGCAGCCCAGGACTGACTATATTGATGATAGAAATAAACTCCACTTTGTTTAAATCCCTGTTGTTCTGGTTTTAAGTGCTTTCAGAAATGA
Organism: Homo sapiens; assembly: GCF_000001405.40. Taxonomy (NCBI): domain Eukaryota; kingdom Metazoa; phylum Chordata; class Mammalia; order Primates; family Hominidae; genus Homo; species Homo sapiens. The sequence goes on from NC_000006.12 coordinate 3,392,409, forward strand.
AGCTATTGCTAACTATATAGACAGATCGATGCAGGAGAGTAGAAGCTCTGATTCAGGCTGTATGAATATCACCCTAGTTGTAAGTGAAGAATGAGCTGTAGAGGTCTGAACAGGAAGCAAGAAGATCAGTTAGAAAGCCATTGTGCTTAGTTTTCCAGGCATGAAATGAAAAGGCTTTGCCTCAGGGGGTGGCAGTGGAGACAGAGAAATTGAGGGACTCAGAATGTAATTTGGAGGAAGAACTGAGAGGATTTGCTGATCAAGGGAGAGAGAGAGAAGAAAGGGTGACTCTTACCCATTTTTGGCTTGAGCAACTGCATGGATAATGGTTCTAGGGAGGGATGGCTCTGAGGATGTGGGAGGAAGGAGGGTTCTGTTTTGGCCACACAATCTGAAATGCCTACTGGACATCCAAGTGGAACATCCACAAGGCAGTAGGGTATACGATTTTGGAACTCAGCAGGGAGGTCAGAGTTGGTGATATACACCTGGGAGTCTCTGGCCTATGGAGAGGTGAATTAGTGCCATGTTTCTAGCAGAGCAGACACACAGAGAGTGTAGATGGAGAAATGTCAGGAGCCCCAGATCCAACCTTTGGAGGGAGGGCAAAGGAAGGGAAAAGCCAAGTGGGTGAGGTATCATGAAAGCAAAGAAGAGGGTGTGGTCAAGCTGGGTCAGACACTGCTGAGAAGTTCAGATAAGCAAAAGAGAAAATGACCAAGCCTGTGGCAGCCTGGAGGCTGTGGGTTATCTTATCAAGGGAATTCCACCTGAGCAGCGGGGGTGACGAAAGCCTCAGTGGACTGAGGCAAGGACGGAAAGCAAGGCCCCAGAGACAATGCTTGGGGCTCATGTTTGGAGAAGTTTTGCTGTGAAAGGGAGAAATGATGCTACTGTCTCTAATTCTACTTGCTGCCTGAACTGG